>NC_000002.12:93465133-93598695 GCF_000001405.40 Homo sapiens | reverse complement strand
TCTGTCTAGTTTTCAGGGGAAGATATTTCCTTTTAAACCATAGGCCTGAAAGCGCTCCAAATGTCCACATCCAGATACTACAAAAAGAGTGTTTCAAATCTGCTCTATGAAAGGGACTGTTCAACACTGTGACTTCAATTGAAACATCCCAATGAAGCTTCTGAGAATGCTTCTGTCTAGAGTTTATATGAAGACAATACCGTTTCCAACGAAATCCTCAAAGCTATCCAAATATCCTCTTGCAGATTTTACAAAAAGAGTGTTTCAAAACTGCTCTATCAAAAGAAAAGTTCAACACTGTTAGTTGAGGGCGCACATCACAAATAAGATTCTGAGAATGCTTCTGTCTAGTTTTCAGGGGAAGATATTTCCTTTTTCACCATAGGCCTGAAAGCGCTCCAAATGTCCACATACAGATACTACAAAAAGAGTGTTTCAAACCTGCTCTATGAAAGGGAATGTTCAACTCTGTGACTTGAATGCAAACTTCACAAAGAAGTTTCTGGGAATGCTGCTGTCTGCTTTTTATATGTAATCCCATTTCCAACGAAATCCTCAAAGCTAGACAAATATCAACTTGCAGATTCCACAAAAAGAGTGTTTCAAAACTGCTCTCTCAAAAGAAAGATTCAACTCTGTTAGCTGAGTAGATACATCATGAAAAAGTTTCTGACATTGCTTTTATCTAGCTTTTATTGGAAGATATTCCCTTTTTCACCGTAGTCCTGAGAGCGCTCCAAATGTCCACTTCCAGATACTACAAAAAGAGTGTTTCAAACCTGCTCTATGAAAGGGACTGTTCAACACTGTGACTTCAATTGAAACATCCCAATGAAGCTTCTGAGAATGCTTCTGTCTAGAGTTTATATGAAGACAATCCCGTTTCCAACGAAATCCTCAAAGCTATCCAAATATCCTCTTGCAGATATTACAAAAAGAGTGTTTCAAAACTGCTCTATCAAAAGAAAGGTTCAACACTGTTAGTTGAGGGCGCACATCACAAATAAGTTTACTGAGAATGCTGCTGTCTGCTTTTTATAATTAATCCCGTTTCCAACGAAATCCTCAAAGCTAGACAAATATCCACTTGCAGATTCCACAAAAAGAGTGTTTCAAAACTGCTCTATCAAAAGAATGCTTCAACACTGTTAGTTGAGGGCGCACATCACAAATAAGTTTCTGAGAATGCTTCTGTCTAGTTTTCAGGGGAAGATATTTCCTTTTTCACCATAGGCCTGAAAGCGCTCCAAATGTCCACATCCAGATACTACAAAAAGAGTGTTTCAAACCTGCTCTATGAAAGGGACTGTTCAACACTGTGACTTCAATTGAAACATCCCAATGAAGCTTCTGAGAATGCTTCTGTCTAGAGTTTATATGAAGACAATCCCGTTTCCAACGAAATCCTCAAAGCTAATCAAATATCCTCTTGCAGATTTTACAAAAAGTGTGTTTCAAAACTGCTCTATCAAAAGAGAGCTTCAACACTGTTAGTTGAGGGCGCACATCACAAATAAGATTCTGAGAATGCTTCTATGTAGCTTTTATTGGAAGATATTTCCTTTTTCACCGTAGTCCTGAGAGCGCTCTCAATGTCCACTTCCAGATACTACAAAAAGAGTGTTTCAAACCTGCTCTATGAAAGGGAATATTCAAATCTGTGACTTGAATGCAAACATCACAGAGAAGTTTCTGAGAATGCTGCTGTCTGCTTTTTATATGTAATCCCGTTTCCAACGAAATCCTCAAAGCTAGACAAATATCCACTTGCAGATTCCACAAAAAGAGTGTTTCAAAACTGCTCTCTCAAAAGAAAGGTTCAACTCTGTTAGCTGAGTAGATACATCATGAAAATGTTTCCTGACATTGCTTCTATGTAGCTTTTATTGGAAGATATTTCCTTTTTCACTGCAGTCCTGAGAGCGCTCCAAATGTCCACTTCCAGATACTACAAAAAGAGTGTTTCAAACCTGCTCTATGAAAGGGACTGTTCAACACTGTGACTTCAATTGAAACATCCCAATGAAGCTTCTGAGAATGCTTCTGACTAGAGTTTATATGAAGACAATCCCGTTTCCAACGAAATCCTCAAAGCTATCCAAATATCCTCTTGCAGATTTTACAAAAAGAGTGTTTCAAAACTGCTCTATCAAAAGAAAGCTTCAACACTGTTAGTTGAGGGCGCACATCACAAATAAGATTCTGAGAATGTTTCTGTCTAGTTTTCAGGGGAAGATATTTCCTTTTTCACCATAGGCCTGAAAGCGCTCCAAATGTCCACATCCAGATATTACAAAAAGAGTGTTTCAAACATGCTCTATGTAAGGGAATGTTCCACTCTGTGACTTGAATGCAAACATCACAAAGAAGTTTCTGGGAATGCAGCTGTCTGCTTTTTATATGTAATCCCGTTTCCAACGAAATCCTCAAAGCTAGACAAATATCCACTTGCAGATTCCACAAAAAGAGTGTTTCAAAACTGCTCTCTCAAAAGAAAGGTTCATCTCTGTTAGCTGAGTAGGTACATCATGAAAAAGTTGCTGACACTGCTTCTATCTAGCTTTTATTGGAAGATATTTCCTTTATCACCGTATTCCTGAGATCTCTCCAAATGTCCACTTCCAGATACTACAAAAAGAGTGTTTCAAACCTGCTCTATGAAAGGGACTGTTCAACACTGTGACTTCAATTGAAACATCCCAATGAAGCTTCTGAGAATACTTCTTTCTAGAGTTTATATGAAGACAATCCCGTTTCCAACGAAATCCTCAAAGCTATCCAAATATTCTCTTGCAGATATTACAAAAAGAGTGTTTCAAAACTGCTCTATCAAAATAAAGCTTCAACACTGTTAGTTGAGGGCGCACATCACAAATAAGTTTCTGAGAATGCTGCTGTCTGCTTTTTATAATTAATCCCGTTTCCAACGAAATCCTCAAAGCTAGACAAATATCCACTTGCAGATTCCACAAAAAGAGTGTTTCAAAACTGCTCTATCAAAAGAATGCTTCAACACTGTTAGTTGAGGGCGCACATCACAAATAAGTTTCTGAGAATGCTTCTGTCTAGTTTTCAGGGGAAGATATTTCCTTTTAAACCATAGGCCTGAAAGCGCTCCAAATGTCCACATCCAGATACTACAAAAAGAGTGTTTCAAACCTGCTCTATGAAAGGGACTGTTCAACACTGTGACTTCAATTGAAACATCCCAATGACGCTTCTGAGAATGCTTCTGTCTAGAGTTTATATGCAGACAATCCCGTTTCCAACGAAATCCTCAAAGCTATCCAAATATCCTCTTGCAGATTTTACAAAAAGAGTGTTTCAAAACTGCTCTCTCAAAAGAAAGGTTCAACTCTGTTAGCTGAGTAGATACATCATGAAAAAGTTTCTGACATTGCTTCTGTCTAGTTTTCAGGGGAAGATATTTCCTTTTTCACCATAGGCCTGAAAGCGCTCCAAATGTCCACATCCAGATACTACAAAAAGAGTGTTTCAAACCTGCTCTAAGAAAGGGAATGTTCAACTCTGTGACTTGAATGCAAACATCACAAAGAAGTTTCTGGGAATGCTGCTGTCTGCTTTTTATATGTAATCCCGTTTCCAACGCAATCCTCAAAGCTAGACAAATATCCACTTGCAGATTCCACAAAAAGAGTGTTTCAAAACTGCTCTCTCAAAAGAAAGGTTCAACTCTTTTAGCTGAGTAGATACATCATGAATAATTTTCTGACATTGCTTCTATCTACCTTTTATTGGAAGATATTTCCTTTTTCACTGTAGTCCTGAGAACGCACCAAATGTCCACTTCCAGATACTACAAAAAGAGTGTTTCAAACCTGCTCTATGAAAGGGACTGTTCAACACTGTGACTTCAATTGAAACATCCCAATGAAGCTTCTGAGAATGCTACTGTCTAGGGTTAATATGAAGACAATCCCGTTTCCAACGAAATCCTCAAAGCTATCCAAATATCCTCTTGCAGATTTTACAAAAAGAATGTTTCAAAACTGCTCTATCAAAAGAAAGCTTCAACACTGTTAGTTGAGGGCACACATCACAAATATGTTTCTGAGAATACTTCTGTCTAGTTTTCAGTGGAAGATATTTCCTTTTTCACCATAGGCCTGAAAGCGCTCCAAATGTCCAAATCCAGATACTACAAAAAGAGTGTTTCAAACCTGCTCTATGAAACGGAATGTTCAACTCTGTGACTTGAATGCAAACATCACAAAGAAGTTTCTGGGAATGCTTCTGTCTAGTTTTCAGGGGAAGATATTTCCTTTTAAACCAGAGGCCTGAAAGCGCTCCAAATGTCCACATCCAGATACTACAAAAAGAGTGTTTGAAACCTGCTTTATGAAAGGGACTGTTCAACACTGTGACTTCAATTGAAACATCCCAATGAAGCTTCTGAGAATGCTTCTGTCTAGAGTTTATATGAAGACAATCCCGTTTCCAACGAAATCCTCAAAGCTATCCAAATATCCTCTTGCAGATTTTACAAAAAGAGTGTTTCAAAACTGCTCTATCAAAAGAAAGCTTCAACACTGTTAGTTGAGGGCGCACATCACAAATAAGATTCTGAGAATGCTTCTGTCTAGTTTTCAGGGGAAGATATTTCCTTTTTCACCATAGGCCTGAAAGCGCTCCAAATGTCCACATCCAGATACTACAAAAAGAGTGTTTCAAACCTGCTCTATGAAAGGGAATGTTCAACTCTGTGACTTGAATGCAAACATCACAAAGAAGATTCTGGGAATGCTGCTGTCTGCTTTTTTATATGTAATCCCGTTTCCAACGAAATCCTCAAAGCTAGACAAATATCCACTTGCAGATTCCACAAAAAGAGTGTTTCAAAACTGCTCTCTCAAAAGAAAGGTTCAACTCTGTTAGCTGAGTAGATACATCATGAAAAAGTTTCTGACATTGCTTCTATGTAGCTTTTATTGGAAGATATTTCGTTTTTCACCGTAGTCCTGAGAGCGCTCCAAATGTCCACTTCCAGATACTACAAAAAGAGTGTTTCAAACCTGCTCTATGAAAGGGACTGTTCAACACTGTGACTTCAATTGAAACATCCCAATGAAGCTTCTGAGAATGCTTCTGTCTAGAGTTTATATGAAGACAATCCCGTTTCCAACGAAATCCTCAAAGCTATCCAAATATCCTCTTGCAGATATTACAAAAAGAGTGTTTCAAAACTGCTCTATCAAAAGAAAGGTTCAACACTGTTAGTTGAGGGCGCACATCACAAATAAGTTTACTGAGAATGCTGCTGTCTGCTTTTTATATGTAATCCCGTTTCCAACGAAATCCTCAAAGCTAGACAAATATCCACTTGCAGATTCCACAAAAAGAGTGTTTCAAAACTGCTCTATCAAAAGAAAGCTTCAACACTGTTAGTTGAGGGCGCACATCACAAATAAGTTTCTGAGAATGCTTCTGTCTAGTTTTCAGGGGAAGATATTTCCTTTTTCACCATAGGCCTGAAAGCGCTCCAAATGTCCACATCCAGATACTACAAAAAGAGTGTTTCAAACCTGCTCTATGAAAGGGACTGTTCAACACTGTGACTTCAATTGAAACATCCCAATGAAGCATCTGAGAATGCTTCTGTCTAGAGTTTATATGAAGACAATCCCGTTTCCAACGAAATCCTCAAAGCTATCAAAATATCCTCTTGCAGATTTTACGAAAAGAGTGTTTCAAAACTGCTCTATCAAAAGAAAGCTTCAACACTGTTAGTTGAGGGCGCACATCACAAATAAGATTCTGAGAATGCTTCTGTCTAGTTTTCAGGGGAAGATATTTCCGTTTTCACCATAGGCCTGAAAGCGCTCCAAATGTCCACATCCAGATACTACAAAAAGAGTGTTTCAAACCTGCTCTATGAAAGGGAATGTTCAACTCTGTGACTTGAATGCAAATATCACAAAGAAGTTTCTGGGAATGCTGCTGTCTGCTTTTTATATGTAATCCCGTTTCAAACGCAATCCTCAAAGCTAGACAAATATCCACTTGCAGATTCCAGAAAAAGAGTGTTTCCAACCTGCTCTCTCAAAAGAAAGTTTCAACTCTGTTAGCTGAGTAGATACATCATGAAAAATTTTCTGACATTGCTTCTATCTAGCTTTTATTGGAAGATATTTCCTTTTTCACCGCAGTCCTGAGAGCGCTCCAAATGTCCACTTCCAGATACTACAAAAAGAGTGTTTCAAACCTGCTCTATGAAAGGGACTGTTCAACACTGTGACTTCAATTGAAACATCCCAATGAAGCTTCTGAGAATGCTTCTTTCTAGAGTTTATATGAAGACAATCCCGTTTCCAACGAAATCCTCAAAGCTATCCAAATATTCTCTTGCAGATATTACAAAAAGAGTGTTTCAAAACTGCTCTATCAAAATAAAGCTTCAACACTGTTAGTTGAGGGCGCACATCACAAATAAGTTTCTGAGAATGCTGCTGTCTGCTTTTTATATGTAATCCCGTTTCCAACGAAATCCTCAAATTTAGACAAATATCCACTTCCAGATTCCACAAAAAGAGTGTTTCAAAACTGCTCTATCAAAAGAATGCTTCAGCACTGTTAGTTGAGGGCGCACATCACAAATAAGTTTCTGAGAATGCTTCTGTCTATTTTTCAGGGGAAGATATTTCCTTTTAAACCATAGGCCTGAAAGCGCTCCAAATGTCCACATCCAGATACTACAAAAAGAGTGTTTCAAACCTGCTCTATGAAAGGGACTGTTCAACACTGTGACTTCAATTGAAACATCCCAATGAAGCTTCTGAGAATGCTACTGTCTAGAGTTTATATGAAGACAATCCCGTTTCCAACGAAATACTCAAAGCTATCCAAATATCCTCTTGCAGATTTTACAAAAAGAGTGTTTCAAAACTACTCTATCAAAAGAAAGGTTCAACACTGTTAGTTGAGGGCGCACATCACAAATAAGTTTCTGAGAATGCTTCTGTCTAGTTTTCAGGGGAAGATATTTCCTTTTTCACCATAGGCCTGAAAGCGCTCCAAACGTCCACATCCAGATACTACAAAAAGAGTGTTTGAAACCTGCTCTATGAAAGGGAATGTTCAAGTCTGTGACTTGAATGCAAATTTCACAAAGAAGTTTACTGGGAATGCTGCTGTCTGCTTTTTATATGTAATCCCGTTTCCAACGAAATCCTCAAAGCTAGACAAATATCCACTTGCAGATTCCACAAAAAGAGTGTTTCAAAACTGCTCTCTCAAAAGAAAGGTTCAACTCTGTTAGCTTAGTAGATACTTCACGAAAAAGTTTCTGACATTGCTTCTATGTAGCTTTTATTGGAAGATATTTCCATTTTCACCGTAGTCCTGAGAGCGCTCCAAATGTCCACTTCCAGATACTACAAAAAGAGTGTTTCAAACCTGTTCTATGAAAGGAACTGTTCAACACTGTGACTTCAATTGAAACATCCCAATGAAGCTTCTGAGAATGCTTCTGTCTAGAGTTTATATGAAGACAATCCCGTTTCCAACGAAATCCTCAAAGCTATCCAAATATCCTCTTGCAGATATTACAAAAAGAGTGTTTCAAAACTGCTCTATCAAAAGAAAGCTTCAACATTGTTAGTTGAGGGCGCACATCACAAATAAGTTTCTGAGAATGCTGCTGTCTGCTTTTTATATGTAATCCCGTTTCCAACGAAATCCTCAAAGCTAGACAAATATCCACTTGCAGATTCCACAAAAAGAGTGTTTCAAAACTGCTCTATCAAAAGAAAGCTTCAACACTGTTAGTTGAGGGCGCACATCACAAATAAGTTTCTGAGAATGCTTCTGTCTAGTTTTCAGGGGAAGATATTTCCTTTTAAACCATAGGCCTGAAAGCGCTCCAAATGTCCACATCCAGATACTACAAAAAGAGTGTTTCAAACCTGCTCTATGAAAGGGACTGTTCAACACTGTGACTTCAATTGAAATATCCCAATGACGCTTCTGAGAATGCTTCTGTCTAGAGTTTATATGAAGACAATCCCGTTTCCAACGAAATCCTCAAAGCTATCAAAATATCCTCTTGCAGATTTTACGAAAAGAGTGTTTCAAAACTGCTCTATCAAAAGAAAGCTTCAACACTGTTAGTTGAGGGCGCACATCACAAATAAGATTCTAAGAATGCTTCTGTCTAGTTTTCAGGAGAAGATATTTCCTTTTTCATCATAGGCCTGAAAGCGCTCCAAATGTCCACATCCAGATACTATAAAAAGAGTGTTTCAAACCTGCTCTCTGAAAGGGAATGTTCAACTCTGTGACTTGAATGCAAACATCACAAACAGGATTCTGGGAATGCTGCTGTCTGCTTTTTATATGTAATCCCGTTTCCAACGAAATCCTCAAAGCTAGACAAATATCCACTTCCAGATTCCACAAAAAGAGTGTTTCAAAACTGCTGTCTCAAAAGAAAGGTTCAACTGCTGTTAGCTGAGTAGATACATCATGAAAAAGTTTCTGACATTGCTTCTATCTAGCTTTTATTGGAAGATATTTCCTTTTTCACCGCAGTCCTGAGAGCGCTCCAAATGTCCACTTCCAGATACTACAAAAAGAGTGTTTCAAACCTGCTCTATGAAAGGGACTGTTCAACACTGTGACTTTAATTGAAACATCCCAATGAAGCTTCTCAGAATGCTTCTGTCTAGAGTTGATATGAAGACAATCCCGTTTCCAACGAAATCCTCAAAGCTATCAAAATATCCTCTTGCAGATTTTACGAAAAGAGTGTTTCAAAACTGCTCTATCAAAAGAAAGCTTCAACACTGTTAGTTGAGGGCGCACATCACAAATAAGATTCTGAGAATGCTTCTGTCTAGTTTTCAGGGGAAGATATTTCCTTTTTCACCATAGGCCTGAAAGTGCTCCAAATGTCCACATCCAGATACTACAAAAAGAGTGTTTCAAACCTGCTCTATGAAAGGGAATGTTCAACACTGTGACTTGAATGCAAACATCACAAAGATGTTACTGGGAATGCTGCTGTCTGCTTTTTATATGTAATCCCGTTTCCAACGAAATCCTCAAAGCTAGACAAATATCCACTTGCAGATTCCACAAAAAGAGTGTTTCAAAACTGCTCTCTCAAAAGAAAGGTTCAACTCTATTAGCTGAGTAGATGCATCACGAAAATGTTTCTGACATTGCTTCTATCTAGCTTTTATTGGAAGATACTTCCTTTTTCACCGTAGTCCTGAGAGCGCTCCAAATGTCCACTTCCAGATACTACAAAAAGAGTGTTTCAAACCTGCTCTATGAAAGGGACTGTTCAACACTGTGACTTCAATTGAAACATCCCAATGAAGCTTCTGAGAATGCTTCTGTCTAGAGTTTATATGAAGACAATCCCGTTTCCAACGAAATCCTCAAAGCTATCCAAATATCCTCTTGCATATTTTACAAAAAGAGTGTTTCAAAACTGCTCTATCAAAAGAAAGCTTCAACACTGTTAGTTGAGGGCGCACATCACAAATAAGATTCTGAGAATGCTTCTGTCTAGTTTTCAGGGGAAGATATTTCCTTTTTCACCATAGGCCTGAAAGCGCTCCAAATGTCCACATCCAGATACTACAAAAAGAGTGTTTCAAACCTGCTCTATGAAAGGGAATGTTCAACTCTGTGACTTGAATGCAAACATCACAAAGAAGTTTCTGGGAATGCTGCTGTCTGCTTTTTATATGTAATCCCGTTTCCAACGAAATCCTCAAAGCTAGACAAATAAACACTTGCAGATTCCACAAAAAGAGTGTTTCAAAACTGCTCTGTCAAAAGAAAGGTTCAACTCTGTTAGCTGAGTAGATACATCATGAAAAAGTTTCTGACATTGCTTCTATCTAGCTTTTATTGGAAGATATTTCCTTTTTCACCGCAGTCCTGAGAGCGCTCCAAATGTCCACTTCCAGATACTACAAAAAGAGTGTTTCAAACCTGCTCTATGAAAGGGACTGTTCAACACTGTGACTTCAATTGAAACATCCCAATGAAGCTTCTGAGAATGCTTATGTCTAGAGTTTATATGAAGACAATCCCGTTTCCAACGAAATCCTGAAAGCTATCCAAATATCCTCTTGCAGATATTACAAAAAGAGTGTTTCAAAACTGCTCTATCAAAAGAAAGCTTCAACACTGTTAGTTGAGGGCGCCCATCACAAATAAGTTTCGGAGAATGCTTAGCTGTCTGCTTTTTATATGTAATCCCGTTTCCAACGAAATCCTCAAAGCTAGACAAATATCCACTTGCAGATTCCACAAAAAGAGTGTTTCAAAACTGCTCTATCAAAAGAAAGCTTCAACACTGTTAGTTGAGGGCGCACATCACAAATAAGTTTCTGAGAATGCTTCTGTCTAGTTTTCAGGGGAAGATATTTCCTTTTTCACCATAGGCCTGAAAGCGCTCCAAATGTCCACATCCAGATACTACAAAAAGAGTGTTTCAAACCTGCTCTATGAAAGGGACTGTTCAACACTGTGACTTCAATTGAAACATCCCAATGACGCTTCTGAGAATGCTACTGTCTAGAGTTTATATGAAGACAATCCCGTTTCCAACGAAATCCTCAAAGCTATCCAAATATCCTCTTGCAGATTTTACAAAAAGAGTGTTTCAAAACTGCTCTATCAAAAGAAAGCTTCAACACTGTCAGTTGAGGGTGCACATCACAAATAAGTTTCTGAGAATGCTTATCTGTCTAGTTTTCAGGGGAAGATATTTCCTTTTTCACCATAGGCCTGAAAGCGCTCCAAATGTCCACATCCAGATACTACAAAAAGAGTGTTTCAAACCTGCTCTATGAAAGGGAATGTTCAACTCTGTGACTTGAATGCAAACATCACAAAGAAGTTTCTGGGAATGCTGCTGTCTGCTTTTTATATGTAATCCCGTTTCCAACGAAATCCTCAAAGCTAGACAAATATCCACTTGCAGATTCCACCAAAAGAGTGTTTCAAAACTGCTGTCTCAAAAGAAAGGTTCAACTCTGTTAGCTGAGTAGATACATCATGAACAATTTTCTGACATTGCTTCTATCTAGCTTTTATTGGAAGATATTTCCTTTTTCACCGTAGTCCTGAGAGCACTCCAAATGTCCACTTCCAGATACTACAAAAAGAGTGTTTCAAACCTGCTCTATGAAAGGGACTGTTCAACACTGTGACTTCAATTGAAACATCCCAATGAAGCTTCTGAGAATGCTTCTGTCTAGAGTTTATATGAAGACAATCCCGTTTCCACCGAAATCCTCAAAGCTATCCAAATATCCTCTTGCAGATTTTACGAAAAGAGTGTTTCAAAACTGCTCTATCAAAAGAAAGGTTCAACACTGTTAGTTGAGGGCGCACATCACAAATAAGATTCTGAGAATGCTTCTGTCTAGTTTTCAGGGGAAGATATTTCCTTTTTCACCATAGGCTTGAAAGCACTCCAAATGTCCACATCCAGATACTACAAAAAGAGTGTTTCAAACCTGCTCTATGAAAGGGAATGTTCAACTCTGTGACTTGAATGCAAACATCACAAAGAAGTTTCTGGGAATGCTGCTGTCTGCTTTTTATATGTAATCCCGTTTCCAACGAAATCCTCAAAGCTAGACAAATATCCACTTGCAGATTCCACAAAAAGAGTGTTTCAAAACTGCTCTCTCAAAAGAAAGGTTCAACTCTGTTAGCTGAGTAGATACATCATGAAAAAGTTTCTGACATTGCTTCTATGTAGCTTTTATTGGAAGATATTTCCTTTATCACCGTATTCCTGAGATCTCTCCAAATGTCCACTTCCAGATACTACAAAAAGAGTGTTTCAAACCTGCTCTATGAAAGGGACTGTTCAACACTGTGACTTCAATTGAAACATCCCAATGAAGCTTCTGAGAATGCTTATGTCTAGAGTTTATATGAAGACAATCCCGTTTCCAACGAAATCCTGAAAGCTATCCAAATATCCTCTTGCAGATATTACAAAAAGAGTGTTTCAAAACTGCTCTATCAAAAGAAAGCTTCAACACTGTTAGTTGAGGGCGCCCATCACAAATAAGTTTCGGAGAATGCTTAGCTGTCTGCTTTTTATATGTAATCCCGTTTCCAACGAAATCCTCAAAGCTAGACAAATATCCACTTGCAGATTCCACAAAAAGAGTGTTTCAAAACTGCTCTATCAAAAGAAAGCTTCAACACTGTTAGTTGAGGGCGCACATCACAAATAAGTTTCTGAGAATGCTTCTGTCTAGTTTTCAGGGGAAGATATTTCCTTTTAAACCATAGGCCTGAAAGCGCTCCAAATGTCCACTTCCAGATACTACAAAAAGAGTGTTTCAAACCTGCTCTATGAAAGGGACTGTTCAACACTGTGACTTCAATTGAAACATCCCAATGAAGCTTCTGAGAATGCTTCTGTCTAGAGTTTATATGAAGACAATCCCGTTTCCAACGAAATCCTCAAAGCTATCCAAATATCCTCTTGCAGATTTTACAAAAAGAGTGTTTCAAAACTGCTCTATCAAAAGAAAGCTTCAACACTGTTAGTTGAGGGCGCACATCACAAATAAGATTCTGAGAATGCTTCTGTCTAGTTTTCAGGGGAAGATATTTCCTTTTTCACCGTAGGCCTGAAAGCGCTCCAAATGTCCACATCCAGATACTACAAAAAGAGTGTTTCAAACCTGCTCTATGAAAGGGAATGTTCAACTCTGTGACTTGAATGCAAACATCACAAAGAAGTTACTGGGAATGCTGCTGTCTGCTTTTTATATGTAATCCCGTTTCCAACGAAATCCTCAAAGCTAGACAAATATCCACTTCCAGATTCCACAAAAAGAGTGTTTCAAAACTGCTCTCTCAAAAGAAAGGTTCAACTCTGTTAGCTGAGTAGATACATCATGAAAAAGTTTCTGACATTGCTTCTATCTAGCTTTTATTGGAAGATATTTCCTTTTTCACCGCAGTCCTGAGAGCGCTCCAAATGTCCACTTCCAGATACTACAAAAAGAGTGTTTCAAACCTGCTCTATGAAAGGGACTGTTCAACACTGTGACTTCAATTGAAACATCCCAATGAAGCTTCTGAGAATGCTTCTTTCTAGAGTTTATATGAAGACAATCCCGTTTCCAACGAAATCCTCAAAGCTATCCAAATATTCTCTTGCAGATATTACAAAAAGAGTGTTTCAAAACTGCTCTATCAAAATAAAGCTTCAACACTGTTAGTTGAGGGCGCACATCACAAATAAGTTTCTGAGAATGCTGCTGTCTGCTTTTTATATGTAATCCCGTTTCCAACGAAATCCTCAAAGCTAGACAAATATCCACTTGCAGATTCCACAAAAAGAGTGTTTCAAAACTGCTCTATCAAAAGAATGCTTCAACACTGTTAGTTGAAGGCGCACATCACAAATAAGTTTCTGAGAATGCTTCTGTCTAGTTTTCAGGGGAAGATATTTCCTTTTAAACCATATGCCTGAAAGCGCTCCAAATGTCCACATCCAGATACTACAAAAAGAGTGTTTCAAACCTGCTCTATGAAAGGGACTGTTCAACACTGTGACTTCAATTGAAACATCCCAATGAAGCTTCTGAGAATGCTTCTGTCTAGAGTTTATATGAAGACAATCCCGTTTCCAACGAAATCCTCAAAGCTATCCAAATATCCTCTTGCAGATTTTACAAAAAGAGTGTTTCAAAACTGCTCTATCAAAAGAAAGCTTCAACACTGTTAGTTGAGGGCGCACATCACAAATAAGATTCTGAGAATGCTTCTGTATAGTTTTCAGGGGAAGATATTTCCTTTTTCACCATAGGCCTGAAAGCGCTCCAAACGTCCACATCCAGATACTACAAAAAGAGTGTTTCAAACCTGCTCTATGAAAGGGAATGTTCAAGTCTGTGACTTGAATGCAAATTTCACAAAGAAGTTTCTGGGAATGCTGCTGTCTGCTTTTTATATGTAATCCCGTTTCCAACGAAATCCTCAAAGCTAGACAAATATCCACTTGCAGATTCCACAAAAAGAGTGTTTCAAAACTTCTCTCTCAAAGAAAGGTTCAACTCTGTTAGCTGAGTAGATACATCATGAAAAAGTTTCTGACATTGCTTCTATGTAGCTTTTATTGGAAGATATTTCCTTTTTCACCGTAGTCCTGGGAGCGCTCCAAATGTCCACTTCCAGATACTACAAAAAGAGTGTTTCAAACCTGTTCTATGAAAGGAACTGTTCAACACTGTGACTTCAATTGAAACATCCCAATGAAGCTTCTGAGAATGCTGCTGTCTGCTTTGTATAATTAATCCCGTTTCCAACGAAATCCTCAAAGCTATCCAAATATCCTCTTGCAGATATTACAAAAAGAGTGTTTCAAAACTGCTCTATCAAAAGAAAGCTTCAACACTGTTAGTTGAGGGCGCACATCACAAATAAGTTTCTGAGAATGCTGCTGTCTGCTTTTTATATGTAATCCCGTTTCCAACGAAATCCTCAAAGCTAGACAAATATCCACTTGCAGATTCCACAAAAAGAGTGTTTCAAAACTGCTCTATCAAAAGAATGCTTCAACACTGTTAGTTGAGGGCGCACATCACAAATAAGTTTCTAAGAATGCTTCTGTCTAGTTTTCAGTGGAAAATATTTCCTTTTTCACCATAGGCCTGAAAGCGCTCCAAATGTCCACTTCCAGATACTACAAAAAGAGTGTTTCAAACCTGCTCTATCAAAGGGAATGTTCAACACTGTGACTTCAATTGAAACATCCTAATGAAGCTTCTGAGAATGCTTCTGTCTAGATTGTATATGAAGACAATCCCGTTTCCAACGAAATCCTCAAAGCTATCCAAATATCCTCTTGCAGATTTTACAAAAAGAGTGTTTCAAAACTGCTCTATCAAAAGAAAGCTTCAACACTGTTAGTTGAGGGCGCACATCACAAATAAGTTTCTGAGAATGCTTCTGTCTAGTTTTCAGGGGAAGATATTTCCTTTTTCACCATAGGCCTGAAAGCGCTCCAAATGTCCACATCCAGATATTACAAAAAGAGTGTTTCAAACCTGCTCTATGAAAGGGAATGTTCAACTCTGTGACTTGAATGCAAACATCACAAAGAAGATTCTGGGAATGCTGCTGTCTGCTTTTTATATGTAATCCCGTTTCCAACGCAATCCTCAAAGCTAGACAAATATCCACTTGCAGATTCCACAAAAAGAGTGTTTCAAAACTGCTCTCTCAAAGGAAGGTTCAACTCTGTTAGCTGAGTAGATACATCATGAAAAAGTTTCTGACATTGCTTCTATGTAGCTTTTATTGGAAGATATTTCCTTTTTCACCGCAGTCCTGAGAGCGCTCCAAATGTCCACTTCCAGATACTACAAAAAGAGTGTTTCAAACCTGCTCTATGAAAGGGACTGTTCAACACTGTGACTTCAATTGAAACATCCCAATGAAGCTTCTGAGAATGCTTCTGTCTAGAGTTTATATGAAGACAATCCCGTTTCCAACGAAATCCTCAAAGCTATCCAAATATCCTCTTGCAGATATTACAAAAAGAGTGTTTCAAAACTGCTCTATCAAAAGAAAGGTTCAACACTGTTAGTTGAGGGCGCACATCACAAATAAGTTTACTGAGAATGCTGCTGTCTGCTTTTTATATGTAATCCCGTTTCCAACGAAATCCTCAAAGCTAGACAAATATCCACTTGCAGATTCCACAAAAAGAGTTTTTCAAAACTGCCCTATCAAAAGAATGCTTCAACACTGTTAGTTGAGGGCGCACATCACAAATAAGTTTCTGAGAATGCTTCTGTCTAGTTTTCAGGGGAAGATATTTCCTTTTAAACCATAGGCCTGAAAGCGCTCCAAATGTCCACATCCAGATACTACAAAAAGAGTGTTTCAAACCTGCTCTATGAAAGGGACTTTTCAACACTGTGACTTCAATTGAAACATCCCAATGACGCTTCTGAGAATGCTTCTGTCTAGAGTTTATATGAAGACAATCCCGTTTCCAACGAAATCCTCAAAGCTATCAAAATATCCTCTTGCAGATTTTACGAAAAGAGTGTTTCAAAACTGCTCTATCAAAAGAAAGCTTCAACACTGTTAGTTGAGGGCGCACATCACAAATAAGATTCTGAGAATGCTTCTGTCTAGTTTTCAGGGGAAGATATTTCCTTTTTCACCTTATGCCTGAAAGCGCTGCAAATGTCCACATCCAGATACTACAAAAAGAGTGTTTCAAACCTGCTCTATGAAAGGGAATGTTCAACTCTGTGACTTGAATGCAAACATCACAAAGAAGTTTCTGGGAATGCTGCTGTCTGCTTTTTATATGTAATCCCGTTTCCAACGAAATCCTCAAAGCTAGACAAATATCCACTTGCAGATTCCACAAAAAGAGTGTTTCAAAACTGCTCTCTCAAAGGAAAGGTTCAACTCTGTTAGCTGAGTAGATACATCATGAAAAAGTTTCTGACATTGCTTCTATGTAGCTTTTATTGGAAGATATTTCCTTTTTCACCGCAGTCCTGAGAGCGCTCCAAATGTCCACTTCCAGATACTACAAAAAGAGTGTTTCAAACCTGCTCTATGAAAGGGACTGTTCAACACTGTGACTTCAATTGAAACATCCCAATGAAGCTTCTGAGAATGCTTCTGTCTAGAGTTTATATGAAGACAATCCCGTTTCCAAAGAAATCCTCAAAGCTATCCAAATATCCTCTTGCAGATTTTACAAAAAGAGTGTTTCAAAACTGCTCTATCAAAAGAAAGGTTCAACACTGTTAGTTGAGGGCGCACATCACAAATAAGATTCTGAGAATGCTGCTGTCTGCTTTTTATATGTAATCCCGTTTCCAACGAAATCCTCAAAGCTAGACAAATATCCACTTGCAGATTCCACAAAAAGAGTGTTTCAAAACTGCTCTCTCAAAAGAAAGGTTCAACACTGTTAGTTGAGGGCGCACATCACAAATAAGTTTCTGAGAATGCTTCTGTCTAGTTTTCAGGGGAAGATATTTCCTTTTAAACCATAGGCCTGAAAGCGCTCCAAATGTCCACATCCAGATACTACAAAAAGAGTGTTTGAAACCTGCTCTATGAAAGGGACTGTTCAACACTGTGACTTCAATTGAAACATCCCAATGAAGCTTCTGAGAATGCTTCTGTCTAGAGTTTATATGAAGACAATCCCGTTTCCAACGAAATCCTCAAAGCTATCCAAATATCCTCTTGCAGATTTTACAAAAAGAGTGTTTCAAAACTGCTCTATCAAAAGAAAGCTTCAACACTGTTAGTTGAGGGCGCACATCACAAATAAGATTCTGAGAATGCTTCTGTCTAGTTTTCAGGAGAAGATATTTCCTTTTTCACCATAGGGCTGAAAGCGCTCCAAATGTCCACATCCAGATACTACAAAAAGAGTGTTTCAAACCTGCTCTATGAAAGGGAATGTTCAACTGTGTGACTTGAATGCAAACATCACAAAGAAGTTTCTGGGAATGCTTCTGTCTAGAGTTTATATGAAGACAATCCCGTTTCCAACGAAATCCTCAAAGCTATCCAAATATCCTCTTGCAGATTTTACAAAAAGAGTGTTTCAAAACTGCTCTCTCAAAAGAAAGGTTCAACTCTGTTAGCTGAGTAGATACATCATGAAAAAGTTTCTGACATTGCTTCTATCTAGCTTTTATTGGAAGATATTTCCTTTTTCACCGTAGTCCTGAGAGCGCTCCAAATGTCCACTTCCAGATACTACAAAAAGAGTGTTTCAAACCTGCTCTATGAAAGGGACTGTTCAACACTGTGACTTCAATTGAAACATCCCAATGAAGCTTCTGAGAATGCTTCTGTCTAGAGTTTATATGAAGACAATCCCGTTTCCAACGAAATCCTCAAAGCTATCCAAATATCCTCTTGCAGATTTTACAAAAAGAGTGTTTCAAAACTGCTCTATCGAAAGAAAGCTTCAACACTGTTAGTTGAGTGCGCACATCACAAATAAGATTCTGAGAATGCTTCTGTCTAGTTTTCAGGGGAAGATATTTCCTTTTTCACCATAGGCCTGAAAGCGCTCCAAATGTCCACATCCAGATACTACAAAAAGAGTGTTTCCAACCTGCTCTATGAAAGGGAATGTTCAACTCTGTGACTTGAATGCAAACATCACAAAGAAGTTTCTGGGAATGCTGCTGTCTGCTTTTTATATGTAATCCCGTTTCCAACGAAATCCTCAAAGCTAGACAAATATCCACTTGCAGATTCCACAAAAAGAGTGTTTCAAAACTGCTCTCTCAAAGGAAAGGTTCAACTCTGTTAGCTGAGTAGATACATCATGAAAAAGTTTCTGACATTGCTTCTATCTAGCTTTTATTGGAAGATACTTCCTTTTTCACCGTAGTCCTGAGAGCGCTCCAAATGTCCACTTCCAGATACTACAAAAAGAGTGTTTCAAACCTGCTCTATGAAAGGGACTGTTCAACACTGTGACTTCAATTGAAACATCCCAATGAAGCTTCTGAGAATGCTTCTTTCTAGAGTTTATATGAAGACAATCCCGTTTCCAACGAAATCCTCAAAGCTATCCAAATATTCTCTTGCAGATATTACAAAAAGAGTGTTTCAAAACTGCTCTATCAAAATAAAGCTTCAACACTGTTAGTTGAGGGCGCACATCACAAATAAGTTTCTGAGAATGCTGCTGTCTGCTTTTTATAATTAATCCCGTTTCCAACGAAATCCTCAAAGCTATCCAAATATTCTCTTGCAGATATTACAAAAAGAGTGTTTCAAAACTGCTCTATCAAAAGAAAGCTTCAACACTGTTAGTTGAGGGCGCACATCACAAATAAGTTTCTGAGAATGCTTCTGTCTAGTTTTCAGGGGAAGATATTTCCTTTTAAACCATAGGCTTAAAGCGCTCCAAATGTCCACATCCAGATACTACAAAAAGAGTGTTTCAAACCTGCTCTATGAAAGGGACTGTTCAACACTGTGACTTCAATTGAAACATCCCAATGACGCTTCTGAGAATGCTTCTGCCTAGAGTTTATATGAAGACAATCCCGTTTCCAACGAAATCCTCAAAGCTATCCAAATATCCTCTTGCAGATATTACAAAAAGAGTGTTTCAAAACTGCTCTATCAAAAGAAAGCTTCAACACTGTTAGTTGAGGGCGCACATCACAAATAAGTTTCTGAGAATGCTTCTGTCTAGTTTTCAGGGGAAGATATTTCCTTTTTCACCATAGGCCTGAAAGCGCTCCAAATGTCCACATCCAGATACTACAAAAAGAGTGTTTCAAACCTGCTCTATGAAAGGGAATGTTCAACTCTGTGACTTGAATGCAAACATCAAAAAGAAGTTACTGGGAATGCAGCTGTCTGCTTTTTATATGTAATCCCGTTTCCAACGAAATCCTCAAAGCTAGACAAATATCCACTTCCAGATTCCACAAAAAGAGTGTTTCAAAACTGCTCTCTCAAAAGAAAGGTTCAAATCTGTTAGGTGAGTAGATACATCATGAAAAAGTTTCTGACATTGCTTCTATCTAGCTTTTATTGGAAGATATTTCCTTTTTCACCGTAGTCCTGAGAGCGCTCCAAATGTCCTCTTCCAGATACTACAAAAAGAGTGTTTCAAACCTGCTCTATGAAAGGGACTGTTCAACACTGTGACTTCAGATGAAACATCCCAATGAAGCTTCTGAGAATGCTACTGTCTAGAGTTTATATGAAGACAATCCCGTTTCCAAAGAAATCCTCAAAGCTATCCAAATATCCTCTTGCAGATTTTACAAAAAGAGTGTTTCAAAACTACTCTATCAAAAGAAAAGTTCAACACTGTTAGTTGAGGGCGCACATCACAAATAAGTTTCTGAGAATGCTGCTGTCTGCTTTTTATATGTAATTCCTTTTCCAACGAAATCCTCAAAGCTAGACAAATATCCACTTGCAGATTCCACAAAAAGAGTGTTTCAATACTGCTCTATCAAAAGAATGCTTCAACACTGTTAGTTGAGGGCGCACATCACAAATAAGTTTCTGAGAATGCTTCTGTCTAGTTTTCAGAGGAAGATATTTCCTTTTTCACCATAGGCCTGAAAGCGCTCCAAATGTCCACTTCCAGATACTACAAAAAGAGTGTTTCAAACCTGCTCTATGAAAGGGACTGTTCAACACTGTGACTTCAATTGAAACATCCCAATGAGGCTTCTGAGAATGCTTCTGTCTAGAGTTTATATGAAGAAAATCCCGTTTCCAACGAAATCCTCAAAGCTATCCAAATATCCTCTTGCAGATTTTACAAAAAGAGTGTTTCAAAACTGCTCTATCAAAAGAAAGCTTCAACACTGTTAGTTGAGGGCGCACATCACAAATAAGATTCTGAGAATGCTTCTGTCTAGTTTTCAGGAGAAGATATTTCCTTTTTCACCATAGGCCTGAAAGCGCTCCAAATGTGCACATCCAGATACTATAAAAAGAGTGTTTCAAGCCTGCTCTATGAAAGGGAATGTTCAACTCTGTGACTTGAATGCAAACATCACAAACAAGATTCTGGGAATGCAGCTGTCTGCTTTTTATATGTAATCCCGTTTCCAACGAAATCCTCAAAGCTAGACAAATATCCACTTGCAGATTCCACAAAAAGAGTGTTTCAAAACTGCTCTCTCAAAAGAAAGGTTCAACTCTGTTAGCTGAGTAGATACATCATGAAAATGTTTCTGACATTGCTTCTATCTAGCTTTTATTGGAAGATATTTCCTTTATCACCGTATTCCTGAGATCTCTCCAAATGTCCATTTCCAGATACTACAAAAAGAGTGTTTCAAACCTGCTCTATGAAAGGGACTGTTCAACACTGCGACTTCAATTGAAACATCCCAATGAAGCTTCTGAGAATGCTTCTTTCTAGAGTTTATATGAAGACAATCCCGTTTCCAACGAAATCCTCAAAGCTATCCAAATATTCTCTTGCAGATATTACAAAAAGAGTGTTTCAAAACTGCTCTATCAAAATAAAGCTTCAACACTGTTAGTTGAGGGCGCACATCACAAATAAGTTTCTGAGAATGCTGCTGTCTGCTTTTTATATGTAATCCCGTTTCCAACGAAATCCTCAAAGCTAGACAAATATCCACTTGCAGATTCCACAAAAAGAGTGTTTCAAAACTGCTCTATCAAAAGAAAGCTTCAACACTGTTAGTTGAGGGCGCACATCACAAATAAGTTTCTGAGAATGCTTCTGTCTAGTTTTCAGGGGAAGATATTTCCTTTTTCACCATAGGCCTGAAAGCGCTCGAAATGTCCACATCCAGATACTACAAAAAGAGTGTTTCAAACCTGCTCTATGAAAGGGACTGTTCAACACTGTGACTTCAATTGAAACATCCCAATGAAGCTTCTGAGAATGCTACTGTCTAGGGTTAATATGAAGACAATCCCGTTTCCAACGAAATCCTCAAAGCTATCCAAATATCCTCTTGCAGATTTTACAAAAAGAGTGTTTCAAAACTGCTCTATCAAAAGAAAGCTTCAACACTGTTAGTTGAGGGCGCACATCACAAATAAGTTTCTGAGAATGCTTCTGTCTAGTTTTCAGGGGAAGATATTTCCTTTTTCACCATAGGCCTGAAAGCGCTCCAAATGTCCACATCCAGATACTACAAAAAGAGTGTTTCAAACCTGCTCTATGAAAGGGAATGTTCATCTCTGTGACTTGAATGCAAACATCACAAAGAAGTTTCTGGGAATGCTGCTGTCTGCTTTTTATATGTAATCCCGTTTCCAACGAAATCCTCAAAGCTAGACAAATATCCACTTGCAGATTCCACAAAAAGAGTGTTTCAAAACTGCTCTCTCAAAGGAAAGGTTCAACTCTGTTAGCTGAGTAGATACATCATGAAAAAGTTTCTGACATTGCTTCTATCTAGCTTTTATTGGAAGATATTTCCTTTTTCACCGTATTCCTGAGAGCGCTCCAAATGTCCACTTCCAGATATTACAAAAAGAGTGTTTCAAACCTGCTCTATGAAAGGGACTGTTCAACACTGTGACTTCAATTGAAACATCCCAATGAAGCTTCTGAGAATGCTTCTGTCTAGAGTTTATATGAAGACAATCCCGTTTCCAACGAAATCCTCAAAGCTATCCAAATATCCTCTTGCAGATATTACAAAAAGAGTGTTTCAAAACTGCTCTATCAAAAGAAAGGTTCAACACTGTTAGTTGAGGGCGCACATCACAAATAAGTTTACTGAGAATGCTGCTGTCTGCTTTTTATATGTAATCCCGTTTCCAACGAAATCCTCAAAGCTAGACAAATATCCACTTGCAGATTCCACAAAAAGAGTGTTTCAAAACTGCTCTATCAAAAGAAAGCTTCAACACTGTTAGTTGAGGGGGCACATCACAAATAAGTTTCTGAGAATGCTTCTGTCTAGTTTTCAGGGGAAGATATTTCCTTTTAAACCATAGGCCTGAAAGCGCTCAAATGTCCACATCCAGATACTACAAAAAGAGTGTTTCAATCCTGCTCTATGAAAGGGACTGTTCAACATTGTGACTTCAATTGAAACATCCCCATGATGCTTCTGAGAATGCTTCTTTCTAGAGTTTATATGAAGACAATCCCGTTTCCAACGAAATCCTCAAAGCTATCCAAATATCCTCTTGCAGATTTTACAAAAAGAGTGTTTCAAAACTGCTCTATCAAAAGAAAGCTTCAACACTGTTAGTTGAGGGCGCACATCACAAATAAGATTCTGAGAATGCTTCTGTCTAGTTTTCAGGGGAAGATATTTCCTTTTTCACCATAGGCCTGAAAGCGCTCCAAATGTCCACATCCAGATACTACAAAAAGAGTGTTTCAAACCTGCTCTATGAAAGGGAATGTTCAACTCTGTGACTTGAATGCAAACATCACAAAGAAGTTTCTGGGAATGCTGCTGTCTGCTTTTTATATGTAATCCCGTTTCCAACGAAATCCTCAAAGCTAGACAAATATCCACTTGCAGATTCCACAAAAAAAGTGTTTCAAAACTGCTCTGTCAAAAGAAAGGTTCAACTCTGTTAGCTGAGTAGATACATCATGAAAAAGTTTCTGACATTGCTTCTATGTAGCTTTTATTGGAAGATATTTCCTTTTTCACCGTAGTCCTGAGAGCGCTCCAAATGTCCACTTCCAGATACTACAAAAAGAGTGTTTCAAACCTGCTCTATGAAAGGGACTGTTCAACACTGTGACTTCAATTGAAACATCCCAATGAAGCTTCTGAGAATGCTTCTGTCTAGAGTTTATATGAAGACAATCCCGTTTCCAATGAAATCCTCAAAGCTATCCAAATACCCTCTTGCAGATTTTACAAAAAGAGTGTTTCAAAACTGCTCTATCAAAAGAAAGCTTCAACACTGTTAGTTGAGGGCGCACATCACAAATAAGATTCTGAGAATGCTTCTGTCTAGTTTTCAGGAGAAGATATTTCCTTTTTCACCATAGGCCTGAAAGCGCTCAAAATGTCCACATCCAGATACTATAAAAAGAGTGTGTCAAACCTGCTCTATGAAAGGGAATGTTCAACTCTGTGACTTGAATGCAAACATCACAAAGAAGATTCTGGGAATGCTTCTGTCTAGTTTTCAGGGGAAGATATTTCCTTTTAAACCATAGGCCTGCAAACGCTCTAAATGTCCACATCCAGATACTACAAAAAGAGTGTTTCAAACCTGCTCTATGAAAGGGACTGTTCAACACTGTGACTTCAATTGAAACATCCCAATGAAGCTTCTGAGAATACTACTGTCTAGGGTTAATATGAAGACAATCCCGTTTCCAACGAAATCCTCAAAGCTATCCAAATATCCTCTTGCAGATTTTACAAAAAGAGTGTTTCAAAACTACTCTACAAAAAGAAAGGTTTAACACTGTTAGTTGAGGGCGCACATCACAAATAAGTTTCTGAGAATGCTTCTGTCTAGTTTTCAGGGGAAGATATTTCCTTTTTCACCATAGGCCTGAAAGCGCTCCAAATGTCCACATACAGATACTACAAAAAGAGTGTTTCAAACCTGCTCTCTGAAAGGGAATGTTCAACTCTGTGACTTGAATGCAAACATCACAAAGAAGTTTCTGGGAATGCTGCTGTCTGCTTTTTATATGTAATCCCGTTTCCAACGAAATCCTCAAAGCTAGACAAGTATCCAGTTGCAGATTCCACAAAAAGAGTGTTTCAAAACTGCTCTCTCAAAAGAAAGGTTCAACTCTGTTAGCTGAGTAGATACATCATGAAAAAGTTTCTGACGTTGCTTCTATGTAGCTTTTATTGGAAGATATTTCCTTTTTCACCATAGTCCTGAGAGCGCTCCAAATGTCCACTTCCAGATACTACAAAAAGAGTGTTTCAAACCTGTTCTATGAAAGGAACTGTTCAACACTGTGACTTCAATTGAAACATCCCAAAGAAGCTTCTGAGAATGCTTCTTTCTAGAGTTTATATGAAGACAATCCCGTTTCCAACGAAATCCTCAAAGCTATCCAAATATTCTCTTGCAGATATTACAAAAAGAGTGTTTCAAAACTGCTCTATCAAAATAAAGCTTCAACACTGTTAGTTGAGGGCGCACATCACAAATAAGTTTCTGAGAATGCTGCTGTCTGCTTTTTATAATTAATCCCGTTTCCAACGAAATCCTCAAAGCTATCCAAATATCCTCTTGCAGATATTACAAAAAGAGTGTTTCAAAACTGCTCTATCAAAAGAAAGCTTCAACACTGTTAGTTGAGGGCGCACATCACAAATAAGTTTCTGAGAATGCTTCTGTCTAGTTTTCAGGGGAAGATATTTCCTTTTTCACCATAGGCCTGAAAGCGCTCCAAATGTCCACATCCCGATACTACAAAAAGAGTGTTTCAAACCTGCTCTATGAAAGGGACTGTTCAACACTGTGACTTCAATTGAAACATCCCAATGAAGCTTCTGAGAATGCTTCTGTCTAGCATTGTATATGAAGACAATCCCGTTTCCAACGAAATCCTCAAAGCTATCCAAATATCCTCTTGCAGATTTTACAAAAAGAGTGTTTCAAAACTGCTCTATCAAAAGAAAGCTTCAACACTGTTAGTTGAGGGCGCACATCACAAATAAGTTTCTGAGAATGCTTCTGTCTAGTTTTCAGGGGAAGATATTTCCTTTTTCACCCTAGGCATGAAAGCGCTCCAAATGTCCACATCCAGATACTACAAAAAGAGTGTTTCAAACCTGCTCTATGAAAGGGAATGTTCAACTCTGTGACTTGAATGCAAACATCACAAAGAAGTTACTGGGAATGCTGCTGTCTGTTTTTTATATGTAATCCCGTTTCCAACGAAATCCTCAAAGCTAGACAAATATCCACTTGCAGATTCCACAAAAAGAGTGTTTCAAAACTGCTCTCTCAAAGGAAAGGTTCAACTCTGTTAGCTGAGTAGATACATCATGAAAAAGTTTCTGACATTGCTTCTATCTAGCTTTTATTGGAAGATACTTCCTTTTTCACCGTAGTCCTGAGAGCGCTCCAAATGTCCACTTCCAGATACTACAAAAAGAGTGTTTCAAACCTGCTCTATGAAAGGGACTGTTCAACACTGTGACTTCAATTGAAACATCCCAATGAAGCTTCTGAGAATGCTGCTGTCTGCTTTGTATAATTAATCCCGTTTCCAACGAAATCCTCAAAGCTATCCAAATATCCTCTTGCAGATATTACAAAAAGAGTGTTTCAAAACTGCTCTATCAAAAGAAAGCTTCAACACTGTTAGTTGAGGGCGCACATCACAAATAAGTTTCTGAGAATGCTGCTGTCTGCTTTTTATATGTAATCCCGTTTCCAACGAAATCCTCAAAGCTATCCAAATATCCTCTTGCAGATATTACAAAAAGAGTGTTTCAAAACTGCTCTATCAAAAGAAAGGTTCAACACTGTTAGTTGAGGGCGCACATCACAAATAAGTTTCTGAGAATGCTTCTGTCTAGTTTTCAGGGGAAGATATTTCCTTTTTCACCATAGGCCTGAAAGCGCTCCAAATGTCCACATCCGGATACTACAAAAAGAGTGTTTCAAACCTGCTCTATGAAAGGGACTGTTCAACACTGTGACTTCAATTGAAACATCCCAATGAAGCTTTCTGAGAATACTTCTGTCTAGAGTTTATATGAAGACAATCCCGTTTCCAACGAAATCCTCAAAGCTATCCAAATATCCTCTTGCAGATATTACAAAAAGAGTGTTTCAAAACTGCTCTATCAAAAGAAAGGTTCAACACTGTTAGTTGAGGGCGCACATCACAAATAAGTTTCTGAGAATGCTTCTGTCTAGTTTTCAGGAGAAGATATTTCCTTTTTCACCATAGGCCTGAAAGCGCTCCAAATGTCCACATCCAGATACTACAAAAAGAGTGTTTCAAACCTGCTCTCTGAAAGGGAGTGTTCAACTCTGTGACTTGAATGCAAACATCACAAACAAGATTCTGGGAATGCTGCTGTCTGCTTTTTATATGTAATCCCGTTTCCAACGAAATCCTCAAAGCTAGACAAATATCCACTTCCAGATTCCACAAAAAGAGTGTTTCAAAACTGCTGTCTCAAAAGAAAGGTTCAACTGCTGTTAGCTGAGTAGATACATCATGAAAAAGTTTCTGACATTGCTTCTATGTAGCTTTTATTGGAAGATATTTCCTTTTTCACCATAGTCCTTAGAGCGCTCCAAATGTCCACTTCCAGATACTACAAAAAGAGTGTTTCAAACCTGTTCTATGAAAGGAACTGTTCAACACTGTGACTTCAATTGAAACATCCCAATGAAGCCTCTGAGAATGCTTATGTCTAGAGTTTATATGAAGACAATCCCGTTTCCAACGAAATCCTGAAAGCTATCCAAATATCCTCTTGCAGATATTACAAAAAGAGTGTTTCAAAACTGCTCTATCAAAAGAAAGCTTCAACACTGTTAGTTGAGGGCGCCCATCACAAATAAGTTTCGGAGAATGCTTAGCTGTCTGCTTTTTATATGTAATCCCGTTTCCAACGAAATCCTCAAAGCTAGACAAATATCCACTTGCAGATTCCACAAAAAGAGTGTTTCAAAACTGCTCTATCAAAAGAAAGCTTCAACACTGTTAGTTGAGGGCGCACATCACAAATAAGTTTCTGAGAATGCTTCTGTCTAGTTTTCAGGGGAAGATATTTCCTTTTTCACCATAGGCCTGAAAGCGCTCCAAATGTCCACATCCAGATACTACAAAAAGAGTGTTTCAAACCTGCTCTATGAAAGGGACTGTTCAACACTGTGACTTCAATTGAAACATCCCAATGAAGCTTCTGAGAATGCTTCTGTCTAGAGTTTATATGAAGACAATCCCGTTTCCAACGAAATCCTCAAAGCTATCCAAATATCCTCTTGCAGATATTACAAAAAGAGTGTTTCAAAACTGCTCTATCAAAAGAAAGCTTCAACACTGTTATTTGAGGGCGCACATCACAAATAAGTTTCTGAGAATGCTTCTGTCTAGTTTTCAGGGGAAGATATTTCCTTTTTCACCATAGGCCTGAAAGCGCTCCAAATGTCCACATCCAGATACTACAAAAAGAGTGTTTCAAACCTGCTCTATGAAAGGGAATGTTCAACTCTGTGACTTGAATGCAAACATCACAAAGAAGTTTCTGGGAATGCTGCTGTCTGCTTTTTATATGTAATCCCGTTTCCAAAGAAATCCTCAAAGCTAGACAAATATCCACTTGCAGATTCCACAAAAAGAGTGTTTCAAAACTGCTCTCTCAAAAGAAAGGTTCAACTCTTTTAGCTGAGTAGATACATCATGAAAAAGTTTCTCACATTGCTTCTATCTAGCTTTTATTGGAAGATATTTCCTTTTTCACTGTCGTCCTGAGAACGCTCCAAATGTCCACTTCCAGATACTACAAAAAGATTGTTTCAAACATGCTCTATGAAAGGGACTGTTCAACACTGTGACTTCAATTGAAACATCCCAATGAAGCTTCTGAGAATGCTGCTGTCTGCTTTGTATAATTAATCCCGTTTCCAACGAAATCCTCAAAGCTATCCAAATATCCTCTTGCAGATATTACAAAAAGAGTGTTTCAAAACTGCTCTATCAAAAGAAAGCTTCAACACTGTTAGTTGAGGGCGCACATCACAAATAAGTTTCTGAGAATGCTGCTGTCTGCTTTTTATATGTAATCCCGTTTCCAACGAAATCCTCAAAGCTATCCAAATATCCTCTTGCAGATATTACAAAAAGAGTGTTTCAAAACTGCTCTATCAAAAGAAAGGTTCAACACTGTTAGTTGAGGGCGCACATCACAAATAAGTTTCTGAGAATGCTTCTGTCTAGTTTTCAAGGGAAGATATTTCCTTTTAAACCATAGGCCTGAAAGCGCTCCAAATGTCCACATCCAGATACTACAAAAAGAGTGTTTCAAACCTGCTCTATGAAAGGGACTGTTCAACACTGTGACTTCAATTGAAACATCCCAATGACGCTTCTGAGAATGCTTCTGTCTAGAGTTTATATGAAGACAATCCCGTTTCCAACGAAATCCTCAAAGCTATCCAAATATCCTCTTGCAGATTTTACACAAAGAGTGCTTCAAAACTGCCCTATCAAAAGAAAGGTTCAACACTGTTAGTTGAGGGCGCACATCACAAATAAGTTTCTGAGAATGCTTCTGTCTAGTTTTCAGGGGAAGATATTTCCTTTTTCACCTTAGGCCTGAAAGCGCTGCAAATGTCCACATCCAGATACTACAAAAAGAGTGTTTCAAACCTGCTCTATGAAAGGGAATGTTCAACTCTGTGACTTGAATGCAAACATCACAAAGAAGTTTCTGGGAATGCTGCTGTCTGCTTTTTATATGTAATCCCGTTTCCAACGAAATCCTCAAAGCTAGACAAATATCCACCTGCAGATTCCACAAAAAGAGTGTTTCAAAACTGCTCTCTCAAAGGAAAGGTTCAACTCTGTTAGCTGAGTAGATACATCATGAAAAAGTTTCTGACATTGCTTCTATGTAGCTTTTATTGGAAGATATTTCCTTTTTCACCGTAGTCCTGAGAGCGCTCCAAATGTCCACTTCCAGATACTACAAAAAGAGTGTTTCAAACCTGCTCTATGAAAAGGACTGTTCAACACTGTGACTTCAATTGAAACATCCCAATGAAGATTCTGAGAATGCTTATGTCTAGAGTTTATATGAAGACAATCCCGTTTCCAACGAAATCCTGAAAGCTATCCAAATATCCTCTTGCAGATATTACAAAAAGAGTGTTTCAAAACTGCTCTATCAAAAGAAAGCTTCAACACTGTTAGTTGAGGGCGCCCATCACAAATAAGTTTCGGAGAATGCTTAGCTGTCTGCTTTTTATATGTAATCCCGTTTCCAACGAAATCCTCAAAGCTAGACAAATATCCACGTGCAGATTCCACAAAAAGAGTGTTTCAAAACTGCTCTATCAAAAGAAAGCTTCAACACTGTTAGTTGAGGGCGCACATCACAAATAAGTTTCTGAGAATGCTTCTATCTAGCTTTTATTGGAAGATATTTCCTTTATCACCGTATTCCTGAGATCTCTCCAAATGTCCACTTCCAGATACTACAAAAGGAGTGTTTCAAACCTGCTCTATGAAAGGGATTGTTCAACACTGTGACTTCAATTGAAACATCCCAATGAAGCTTCTGAGAATGCTTCTGTCTAGAGTTTATATGAAGACAATCCCGTTTCCAACGAAATCCTCAAAGCTATCAAAATATCCTCTTGCAGATTTTACGAAAAGAGTGTTTCAAAACTGCTCTATCGAAAGAAAGCTTCAACACTTTTAGTTGAGGGCGCACATCACAAATAAGATTCTGAGAATGCTTCTGTCTAGTTTTCAGGGGAAGATATTTCCTTTTTCACCATAGGCCTGAAAGCGCTCCAAATGTCCACATCCAGATACTACAAAAAGAGTGTTTCAAACCTGCTCTATGAAAGGGAATGTTCAACTCTGTGACTTGAATGCAAACATCACAAAGAAGATTCTGGGAATGCTGCTGTCTGCTTTTTATATGTAATCCCGTTTCCAACGAAATCCTCAAAGCTAGACAAATATCCACTTGCAGATTCCACAAAAAGAGTGTTTCAAAACTGCTCTCTCAAAAGAAAGGTTCAACTCTGTTAGCTGAGTAGATACATCATGAAAATGTTTCCTGACATTGCTTCTATCTAGCTTTTATTGGAAGATATTTCCTTTATCACCGTATTCCTGAGATCTCTCCAAATGTCCACTTCCAGATACTACAAAAAGAGTGTTTCAAACCTGCTCTATGAAAGGGACTGTTCAACACTGTGACTTCAATTGAAACATCCCAATGAAGCTTCTGAGAATGCTGCTGTCTGCTTTGTATAATTAATCCCGTTTCCAACGAAATCCTCAAAGCTATCCAAATATCCTCTTGCAGATATTACAAAAAGAGTGTTTCAAAACTGCTCTATCAAAAGAAAGCTTCAACACTGTTAGTTGAGGGCGCACATCACAAATAAGTTTCTGAGAATGCTGCTGTCTGCTTTTTATAATTAATCCCGTTTCCAACGAAATCCTCAAAGCTATCCAAATATCCTCTTGCAGATATTACAAAAAGAGTGTTTCAAAACTGCTCTATCAAAAGAAAGGTTCAACACTGTTAGTTGAGGGCGCACATCACAAATAAGTTTCTGAGAATGCTTCTGTCTAGTTTTCAGGGGAAGATATTTCCTTTTAAACCTTAGGCCTGAAAGCGCTCCAAATGTCCACATCCAGATACTACAAAAAGAGTGTTTCAAACGTGCTCTATGAAAGGGACTGTTCAACACTGTGACTTCAATTGAAACATGCCAATGAAGCTTCTGAGAATGCTTCTGTCTAGATTTTATATGAAGACAATCCCGTTTCCAACGAAATCCTCAAAGCTATCCAAATATCCTCTTGCAGATTTTACACAAACAGTGTTTCAAAACTACTCTATCAAAAGAAAGGTTTAACACTGTTAGTTGAGGGCGCACATCACAAATAAGTTTCTGAGAATGCTTCTGTCTAGTTTTCAGGGGAAGATATTTCCTTTTTCACCATAGGCCCGAAAGCGCTCCAAATGTCCACATCCAGATACTACAAAAAGAGTGTTTCAAACCTGCTCTATGAAAGGGAATGTTCAACTCTGTGACTTGAATGCAAACATCACAAAGAAGTTTACTGGGAATGCTGGCTGTCTGCTTTTTATATGTAATCCCGTTTCCAACGAAATCCTCAAAGCTAGACAAATATCCACTTGCAGATTCCACAAAAAGAGTGTTTCAAAACTGCTCTCTCAAAGGAAAGGTTCAACTCTGTTAGCTGAGTAGATACATCATGAAAAAGTTTCTGACATTGCTTCTATGTAGCTTTTATTGGAAGATATTTCCTTTTTCACCGTAGTCCTGAGAGCGCTCCAAATGTCCACTTCCAGATACTACAAAAAGAGTGTTTCAAACCTGTTCTATGAAAGGGACTGTTCAACACTGTGACTTCAATTGAAACATCCCAATGAAGCTTCTGAGAATGCTTCTGTCTAGAGTTTATATGAAGACAATCCCGTTTCCAACGAAATCCTCAAAGCTATCCAAATATCCTCTTGCAGATTTTACAAAAAGAGTGTTTCAAAACTGCTCTATCAAAAGAAAGGTTAAACACTGTTAGTTGAGGGCGCCCATCACAAATAGGTTTCTGAGAATGCTTCTATGTAGCTTTTATTGGAAGATATTTCCTTTTTCACCATAGGCCTGAAAGCGCTCCAAATGTCCACATCCAGATACTACAAAAAAAGTGTTTGAAACCTGCTCTATGAAAGGGAATGTTCAACTCTGTGACTTGAATGCAAACATCACAAAGAAGTTACTGGGAATGCTGCTGTCTGCTTTTTATATGTAACCCGTTTCCAACGAAATCCTCAAAGCTAGACAAATATCCACTTGCAGATTCCACAAAAAGAGTGTTTCAAAACTGCTCTCTCAAAGGAAGGTTCAACTCTGTTAGCTGAGTAGATACATCATGAAAAAGTTTCTGACATTGCTTCTATCTAGCTTTTATTGGAAGATATTTCCTTTTTCACCGCAGTCCTGAGAGCGCTCCAAATGTCCACTTCCAGATACTACAAAAAGAGTGTTTCAAACCTGCTCTATGAAAGGGACTGTTCAACACTGTGACTTTAATTGAAACATCCCAATGAAGCTTCTGAGAATGCTGCTGTCTGCTTTGTATAATTAATCCCGTTTCCAACGAAATCCTCAAAGCTATCCAAATATCCTCTTGCAGATATTACAAAAAGAGTGTTTCAAAACTGCTCTATCAAAAGAAAGCTTCAACACTGTTAGTTGAGGGCGCACATCACAAATAAGTTTCTGAGAATGCTGCTGTCTGCTTTTTATATGTAATCCCGTTTCCAACGAAATCCTCAAAGCTAGTACAAATATCCACTTGCAGATTCCACAAAAAGAGTGTTTCAAAACTGCTCTATCAAAAGAATGCTTCAACACTGTTAGTTGAGGGCGCACATCACAAATAAGTTTCTGAGAATGCTTCTGTCTAGTTTTCAGGGGAAGATATTTCCTTTTAAACCATAGGCCTGAAAGCGCTCCAAATGTCCACATCCAGATACTACAAAAAGAGTGTTTCAAACCTGCTCTATGAAAGGGACTGTTCAACACTGTGACTTCAATTGAAACATCCCAATGAAGCTTCTGAGAATGCTTCTGTCCAGAGTTTATATGAAGACAATCCCGTTTCCAACGAAATCCTCAAAGCTATCCAAATATCCTCTTGCAGATTTTACAAAAAGAGTGTTTCAAAACTGCTCTATCAAAAGAAAGCTTCAACACTGTTAGTTGAGGGCGCACATCACAAATAAGATTCTGAGAAAGCTTCTGTCTAGTTTTCAGGGGAAGATATTTCCTTTTTCACCATAGGCCTGAAAGCGCTCCAAATGTCCACATCCAGATACTACAAAAAGAGTGTTTCAAACCTGCTCTATGAAAGGGAATGTTCAACTCTGTGACTTGAATGCAAACATCACTAAGAAATTTCTGGGAATGCTGCTGTCTGCTTTTTATATGTAATCCCGTTTCAAACGCAATCCTCAAACCTAGACAAATATCCACTTGCAGATTCCACACAAAGAGTGTTTCAAAACTGCTCTCTCAAAAGAAAGGTTCAACTCTGTTAGCTGAGTAGATACATCATGAAAAATTTTCTGACATTGCTTCTATCTAGCTTTTATTGGAAGATATTTCCTTTATCACCGTATTCCTGAGATCTCTCCAAATGTCCACTTCCAGATACTACAAAAAGAGTGTTTCAAACCTGCTCTATGAAAGGGACTGTTCAACACTGTGACTTCAATTGAAACATCCCAATGAAGCTTCTGAGAATGCTTCTGTCTAGAGTTTATATGAAGACAATCCCGTTTCCAACGAAATCCTCAAAGCTATCAAAATATCCTCTTGCAGATTTTACGAAAAGAGTTTTTCGAAACTGCTCTATCAAAAGAAAGCTTCGACACTGTTAGTTGAGGGCGCACATCACAAATAAGATTCTGAGAATTCTTCTGTCTGCTTTTTATATGTAATCCCGTTTCCAACGAATTCCTCAAAGCTAGACAAATATCCACTTGCAGATTCCACAAAAAGAGTGTTTCAAAACTGCTCTCTCAAAAGAAAGGTTCAACTCTGTTAGTTGAGGGCGCACATCACCAATAAGTTTCTGAGAAGGCTTCTGTCTAGTTTTCAGGGGAAGATATTTCCTTTTTCACCATAGGCCTGAAAGCGCTCGAAATGTCCACATCCAGATACTACAAAAAGAGTGTTTCAAACCTGCTCTATGAAAGGGACTGTTCAACACTGTGACTTCAATTGAAACATCCCAATGAAGCTTCTGAGAATGCTTCTGTCTAGAGTTTATATGAAGACAATCCCGTTTCCAACGAAATCCTCAAAGCTATCAAAATATCCTCTTGCAGATTTTACGAAAAGAGTGTTTCAAAACTGCTCTATCAAAAGAAAGCTTCAACACTGTTAGTTGAGGGCGCACATCACAAATAAGATTCTGAGAATGCTTTCTGTCTAGTTTTCAGGGGAAGATATTTCCTTTTTCACCTTAGGCCTGAAAGCGCTGCAAATGTCCACAACCAGATACTACAAAAAGAGTGTTTCAAACTTGCTCTACGAAAGGGAATGTTCAACTCTGTGACTTGAATGCAAACATCACAAAGAAGTTTCTGGGAACGCTGCTGGCTGCTTTTTATATGTAATCCCGTTTCCAACGAAATCCTCAAAGCTAGACAAATATCCACTTGCAGATTCCACAAAAAGAGTGTTTCAAAACTGGTCTCTCAAAGGAAGGTTCAACTCTGTTAGCTGAGTAGATACATCATGAAAATGTTTCTGACATTGCTTCTATCTAGCTTTTATTGGAAGATATTTCCTTTTTCACCGCAGTCCTGTGAGCGCTCCAAATGTCCACTTCCAGATACTACAAAAAGAGTGTTTCAAACCTGCTCTATGAAAGGGACTGTTCAACACTGTGACTTCAACTGAAACATCCCAATGAAGCTTCTGAGAATGCTTCTGTCTAGAGTTTATATGAAGACAATCCCGTTTCCAACGAAATCCTCAAAGCTATCCAAATATCCTCTTGCAGATATTACAAAAAGAGTGTTTCAAAACTGCTCTATCAAAAGAAAGGTTCAACACTGTTAGTTGAGGGCGCACATCACAAATAAGTTTACTGAGAATGCTGCTGTCTGCTTTTTATATGTAATCCCGTTTCCAACGAAATCCTCAAAGCTAGACAAATATCTACTTGCAGATTCCACAAAAAGAGTATTTCAAAACTGCTCTATCAAAAGAATGCTTCAACACTGTTAGTTGAGGGCGCACATCACAAATAAGTTTCTGAGAATGCTTCTGTCTAGTTTTCAGGGGAAGATATTTCCTTTTTCACCTTAGGCCTGAAAGCGCTCCAAATGTCCACATCCAGATACTACAAAAAGAGTGTTTCAAACCTGCTCTATGAAAGGGACTGTTCAACACTGTGACTTCAATTGAAACATCCCAATGAAGCTTCTGAGAATGCTTCTGTCTAGAGTTTATATGAAGACAATCCCGTTTCCAACGAAATCCTCAAAGCTATCAAAATATCCTCCTGCAGATTTTACGAAAAGAGTGTTTCAAAACTGCTCTATCAAAAGAAAGCTTCAACACTGTTAGTTGACGGCGCACATCACAAATAAGATTCTGAGAATGCTTCTGTCTAGTTTTCAGGGGAAGATATTTCCTTTTTCACCATAGGCCTGAAAGCGCTCCAAATGTCCACATCCAGATACTACAAAAAGAGTGTTTCAAACCTGCTCTATGAAAGGGAATGTTCAACTCTGTGACTTGAATGCAAACATCTCAAAGAAGTTTCTGGGAATGCTGCTGTCTGCTTTTTATATGTAATCCCGTTTCCAACGAAATCCTCAAAGCTAGACAAATATCCACTTGCAGATTCCACAAAAAGAGTGTTTCAAAACTGCTCTCCCAAAGGAAAGGTTCAACTCTGTTAGCTGAGTAGATACATCATGAAAAAGTTTCTGACATTGCTTCTATCTAGCTTTTATTGGAAGATATTTCCTTTATCACTGTATTCCTGAGATCTCTCCAAATGTCCACTTCCAGCTACTGCAAAAAGAGTGTTTCAAACCTGCTCTATGAAAGGGACTTTTCAACACTGTGACTTCAATTGAAACATCCCAATGAAGCTTCTGAGAATGCTTCTGTCTAGAGTTTATATGAAGACAATCCCGTTTCCAACGAAATCCTCAAAGCTATCCAAATATCCTCTTGCAGATTTTACAAAAAGAGTGTTTCAAAACTGCTCTATCAAAAGAAAGCTTCAACACTGTTAGTTGAGGGCGCACATCACAAATAAGATTCTGCGAATGCTTCTGTCTAGTTTTCAGGGGAACATATTTCCTTTTTCACCATAGGCCTGAAAGCGCTCCAAATGTCCACATCCAGATACTACAAAAAGAGTGTTTCAAACCTGCTCTATGAAAGGGAATGTTCAACTCTGTGACTTGAATGCAAACATCACAAAGAAGTTACTGGGAATGCTGCTGTCTGCTTTTTATATGTAATCCCGTTTCCAACGAAATCCTCAAAGCTAGGCAAATATCCCCTTGCAGATTCCACAAAAAGAGTGTTTCAAAACTGCTCTCTCAAAGGAAGGTTCAACTCTGTTAGCTGAGTAGATACATCATGAAAAAGTTTCTGACATTGCTTCTATCTAGCTTTTATTGGAAGATATTTCCTTTTTCACCGCAGTCCTGAGAGCGCTGCAAATGTCCACTTCCAGATACTACAAAAAGAGCGATTCAAACCTGCTCTATGAAAGGGACTGTTCAACACTGTGACTTCAACTGAAACATCCCAATGAAGCTTCTGAGAATGCTTCTGTCTAGAGTTTATATGAAGACAATCCCGTTTCCAACGAAATCCTCAAAGCTATCAAAATATCCTCTTGCAGATTTTACGAAAAGTGTGTCTCAAAACTGCTCTATCAAAAGAAAGCTTCAACACTGTTAGTTGAGGGCGCACATCACAAATAAGATTCTGAGAATGCTTCTGTCTAGTTTTCAGGGGAAGATATTTCCTTTTTCACCATAGGCCTGAAAGTGCTCCAAATGTCCACATCCAGATACTACAAAAAGAGTGTTTCAAACCTGCTCTATGAAAGGGAATGTTCAACTCTGTGACTTGAATGCAAACATCACAAAGATGTTACTGGGAATGCTGCTGTCTGCTTTTTATATGTAATCCCGTTTCCAACGAAATCCTCAAAGCTAGACAAATATCCAATTGCAGATTCCACAAAAAGAGTGTTTCAAAACTGCTCTCTCAAAAGAAAGGTTCAACTCTGTTAGCTGAGTAGATACATCATGAAAAAGTTTCTGACATTGCTTCTATCTAGCTTTTATTGGAAGATATTTCCTTTTTCACTGTAGTCCTGAGAACGCTCCAAATGTCCACTTCCAGATACTACAAAAAGAGTGTTTCAAACATGCTCTATGAAAGGGACTGTTCAACACTTTGACTTCAATTGAAACATCCGAATGAAGCTTCTGAGAATGCTGCTGTCTGCTTTGTATAATTAATCCCGTTTCCAACGAAATCCTCAAAGCTATCCAAATATCCTCTTGCAGATATTACAAAAAGAGTGTTTCAAAACTGCTCTATCAAAAGAAAGCTTCAACACTGTTAGTTGAGGGCGCACATCACAAATAAGTTTCTGAGAATGCTGCTGTCTGCTTTTTATATGTAATCCCGTTTCCAACGAAATCCTCAAAGCTAGACAAATATCCACTTGCAGATTCCACAAAAAGAGTGTTTCAAAACTGCTCTATCAAAAGAAAGCTTCAACACTGTTAGTTGAGGGCGCACATCACAAATAAGTTTCTGAGAATGCTTCTGTCTAGTTTTCAGGGGAAGATATTTCCTTTTTCACCATAGGCCTGAAAGCGCTCGAAATGTCCACATCCAGATACTACAAAAAGAGTGTTTCAAACCTGCTCTATGAAAGGGACTGTTCAACACTGTGACTTCAATTGAAACATCCCAATGAAGCTTCTGAGAATGCTTCTGTCTAGAGTTTATATGAAGACAATCCCGTTTCCAACGAAATCCTCAAAGCTATCCAAATATCCTCTTGCAGATTTTACGAAAAGAGTGTTTCAAAACTGCTCTATCAAAAGAAAGCTTCAACACTGTTAGTTGAGGGCGCCCATCGCAAATAAGTTTCTGAGAATGCTTCTGTCTAGTTTTCAGGGGAAGATATTTCCTTTTTCACCATAGGCCTGAAAGCGCTCCAAATGTCCACATCCAGATATTACAAAAAGAGTGTTTCAAACCTGCTCTATGAAAGGGAATGTTCAACTCTGGGACTTGAATGCAAACATCACAAAGAAGTTTTTGGGAATGCTGCTGTCTGCTTTTTATATGTAATCCCGTTTCCAACGAAATCCTCAAAGCTAGACAAATATCCACTTGCAGATTCCACAAAAAGAGTGTTTCAAAACTGCTCTCTCAAAAGAAAGGTTCAAATCTGTTAGCTGAGTAGATACGTCATGAAAAAGTTTCTGACATTGCTTCTATCTAGCTTTTATTGGAAGATAATTCCCTTTTCACCGTAGTCCTGAGAGTGCTCCAAATGTCCACTTCCAGATACTACAAAAAGAGTGTTTCAAACCTGCTCTATGAAAGGGACTGTTCAACACTGTGACTTCAATTGAAACATCCCAATGAAGCTTCTGAGAATGCTTCTGTCTAGAGTTTATATGAAGACAATCCCGTTTCCAACGAAATCCTCAAAGCTATCCAAATATCCTCTTGCAGATATTACAAAAAGAGTGTTTCAAAACTGCTCTATCAAAAGAAAGGTTCAACACTGTTAGTTGAGGGCGCACATCACAAATAAGTTTACTGAGAATGCTGCTGTCTGCTTTTTATATGTAATCCCGTTTCCAACGAAATCCTCAAAGCTAGACAAATATCCACTTGCAGATTCCACAAAAAGAGTGTTTCAAAACTGCTCTATCAAAAGAAAGCTTCAACACTGTTAGTTGAGGGCGCACATCACAAATAAGTTTCTGAGAATGCTTCTGTCTAGTTTTCAGGGGAAGATATTTCCTTTTTCACCATAGGCCTGAAAGCGCTCGAAATGTCCACATCCAGATACTACAAAAAGAGTGTTTCAAACCTGCTCTATGAAAGGGACTGTTCAACACTGTGACTTCAATTGAAACATCCCAATGAAGCTTCTGAGAATGCTTCTGTCTAGAGTTTATATGAAGACAATCCTGTTTCCAACGAAATCCTCAAAGCTATCCAAGTATCCTCTTGCAGATTTTACAAAAAGAGTGTTTCAAAACTGCTCTATCAAAAGAAAGCTTCAACACTGTTAGTTGAGGGCGCACATCACAAATAAGATTCTGAGAATGCTTCTGTCTAGTTTTCAGGGGAAGATATTTCCTTTTTCACCATAGGCCTGAAAGCGCTCCAAATGTCCACATACAGATACTACAAAAAGAGTGTTTCAAACCTGCTCTATGAAAGCGAATGTTCAACTCTGTGACTTGAATGCAAACTTCACAAAGAAGTTTCTGGGAATGCTGCTGTCTGCTTTTTATATGTAATCCCGTTTCCAACGAAATCCTCAAAGCTAAGCATATATCCACTTGCAGATTCCACAAAAAGAGTGTTTCAAAACTGCTCTCTCAAAGGAAAGGTTCAACTCTGTTAGCTGAGTAGATACATCATGAAAAAGTTTCTGACATTGCTTCTATGTAGCTTTTATTGGAAGATATTTCCTTTTTCACCATAGTCCTGAGAGCGCTCCAAATGTCCACTTCCAGATACTACAAAAAGAGTGTTTCAAACCTGTTCTATGAAAGGGACTGTTCAACACTGTGACTTCAATTGAAACATCCCAATGAAGCTTCTGAGAATGCTTCTGTCTAGAGTTTATATGAAGACAATCCCGTTTCCAACGAAATCCTCAAAGCTATCCAAATATCCTCTTTCAGATATTACAAAAAGAGTGTTTCAAAACTGCTCTATCAAAAGAAAGCTTCAACACTGTTAGTTGAGGGCGCACATCACAAATAAGTTTCTGAGAATGCTGCTGTCTGCTTTTTATATGTAATCCCGTTTCCAACGAAATCCTCAAAGCTAGACAAATATCCACTTGCAGATTCCACAAAAAGAGTGTTTCAAAACTGCTCTATCAAAAGAAAGCTTCAACACTGTTAGTTGAGGGCGCACATCACAAATAAGTTTCTGAGAATGCTTCTGTCTAGTTTTCAGGGGAAGATATTTCCTTTTTCACCTTAGGCCTGAAAGCGCTGCAAATGTCCACATCCAGATACTACAAAAAGAGTGTTTCAAACGTGCTCTATGAAAGGGAATGTTCAACTCTGTGACTTGAATGCAAACATCACAAAGAAGTTTCTGGGAATGCTTCTGTCTAGAGTTTATATGAAGACAATCCCGTTTCCAAAGAAATCCTCAAAGCTATCCAAATATCCTCTTGCAGATTTTACAAAAAGAGTGTTTCAAAACTGCTCTATCAAAAGAAAGCTTCAACACTGTTAGTTGAGGGCGCACATCACAAATAAGATTCTGAGAATGCTCTGTCTAGTTTTCAGGGGAAGATATTTCCTTTTTCACCATAGGCCTGAAAGCGCTCCAAATGTCCACATCCAGATACTACAAAAAGAGTGTTTCAAACCTGCTCTATGAAAGGGAATGTTCAACTCTGTGACTTGAATGCAAACATCACAAAGAAGATTCTGGGAATGCTGGCTGTCTGCTTTTTATATGTAATCCCGTTTCCAACGAAATCCTCAAAGCTAGACAAATATCCACTTGCAGATTCCACAAAAAGAGTGTTTCAAAACTGCTCTCTCAAAAGAAAGGTTCAACTCTGTTAGCTGAGTAGATACATCATGAAAAAGTTTCTGACATTGCTTCTATCTAGCTTTTATTGGAAGATATTTCCTTTTTCACCGTAGTCCTGAGAACGCTCCAACTGTCCACTTCCAGATGCTACAAAAAGAGTGTTTCAAACCTGCTCTATGAAAGGGACTGTTCAACACTGTGACTTCAATTGAAACATCCCAATGAAGCTTCTCAGAATGCTTCTTTCTAGAGTTTATATGAAGACAATCCCGTTTCCAACGAAATCCTCAAAGCTATCCAAATATTCTCTTGCAGATATTACAAAAAGAGTGTTTCAAAACTGCTCTATCAAAATAAAGCTTCAACACTGTTAGTTGAGGGCGCACATCACAAATAAGTTTCTGAGAATGCTGCTGTCTGCTTTTTATATGTAATCCCGTTTCCAACGAAATCCTCAAAGCTATCCAAATATCCTCTTGCAGATTTTACAAAAAGAGTGTTTCAAAACTGCTCTATCAAAAGAAAGCTTCAACACTGTTAGTTGAGGGCGCACATCACAAATAAGATTCTGAGAATGCTTCTGTCTAGTTTTCAGGGGAAGATATTTCCTTTTAAACCATAGGCCTGAAAGCGCTCCAAATGTCCACATCCAGATACTACAAAAAGAGTGTTTCAAACCTGCTCTATGAAAGGGACTGTTCAACACTGTGACTTCAATTGAAACATCCCAATGAAGCTTCTGAGAATGCTTCTTTCTAGAGTTTATATGAAGACAATCCCGTTTCCAACGAAATCCTCAAAGCTATCCAAATATCCTCTTGCAGATATTACAAAAAGAGTGTTTCAAAACTGCTCTATCAAAAGAAAGCTTCAACACTGTTAGTTGAGGGCGCACATCACAAATAAGTTTCTGAGAATGCTTCTGTCTAGTTTTCAGGGGAAGATATTTCCTTTTTCACCTTAGGCCTGAAAGCGCTGCAAATGTCCACATCCAGATACTACAAAAAGAGTGTTTCAAACCTGCTCTATGAAAGGGAATGTTCAACTCTGTGACTTGAATGCAAACATCACAAAGAAGTTTCTGGGAATGCTGCTGTCTGCTTTTTATATGTAATCCCGTTTCCAACGAAATCCTCAAAGCTAGACAAATATCCACTTGCAGATTCCACAAAAAGAGTGTTTCAAAACTGCTCTCTCAAAGGAAAGGTTCAACTCTGTTAGCTGAGTAGATACATCATGAAAAAGTTTCTGACATTGATTCTATCTAGCTTTTATTGGAAGTTATTTCCTTTTTCACCATAGTCCTGAGAACGCTCCAAATGTCCACTTCCAGATGCTACAAAAAGAGTGTTTCAAACCTGCTCTATGAAGGGGACTGTTCAACACTGTGACTTCAATTGAAACATCCCAATGAAGCTTCTGAGAATGCTACTGTCTAGGGTTAATATGAAGACAATCCCGTTTCCAACGAAATCCTAAAAGCTATCCAAATATCCTCTTGCAGATTTTACAAAAAGAATGTTTCAAAACTGCTCTGTCAAAAGAAAGCTTCAACACTGTTAGTTGAGGGCGCACATCACAAATAAGTTTCTGAGACTACTTCTGTCTAGTTTTCAGTGGAAGATATTTCCTTTTTCACCATAGGCCTGAAAGCGCTCCAAATCTCCAAATCCAGATACTACAAAAAGAGTGTTTCAAACCTGCTCTATGAAAGGGAATGTTCAACTCTGTGACTTGAATGCAAACATCACAAAGAAGTTTCTGGGAATGCTTCTGTCTAGTTTTCAGAGGAAGATATTTCCTTTTTCACCATAGGCCTGAAAGTGCTCCAAATGTCCACATCCAGATACTACAAAAAGAGTGTTTCAAACCTGCTCTATGAAAGGGACTGTTCAACACTGTGACTTCAATTGAAACATCCCAATGAGGCTTCTGTGAATGCTTCTGTCTAGAGTTTATATGAAGACAATCCCGTTTCCAACGAAATCCTCAAAGCTATCCAAATATCCTCTTGCAGATTTTACAAAAAGAGTGTTTCAAAACTGCTCTATCAAAAGAAAGCTTCAACTCTGTTAGTTGAGGGCGCACATCACAAATAAGATTCTGAGAATGCTTCTGTCTAGTTTTCAGGAGAAGATATTTCCTTTTTCACCATAGGCCTGAAAGCGCTCCAAACGTCCACATCCAGATACTATAATAAGAGTGTTTCAAACCTGCTCTCTGAAAGGGAATGTTCAACTCTGTGACTTGAATGCAAACATCACAAACAAGATTCTGGGAATGCTGCTGTCTGCTTTTTATATGTAATCCCGTTTCCAACGAAATCCTCAAAGCTAGACAAATATCCACTTGCAGATTCCACAAAAAGAGTGTTTCAAAACTGCTCTCTCAAAGGAAAGGTTCAACTCTGTTAGCTGAGTAGATACATCATGAAAAAGTTTCTGACATTGCTTCTATCTAGCTTTTATTGGAAGATATTTCCTTTTTCACCGTATTCCTGAGAACGCTCCAAATATCCACTTCCAGGTACTACAAAAAGAGTGTTTCAAACCTGCTCTATGAAAGGGAATGTTGAACACTGTGACTTCAATTGAAACATCCCAATGAAGCTTCTGAGAATGCTTCTGTCTAGAGTTTATATGAAGACAATCCCGTTTCCAACGAAATCTTCAAAGCTATCCAAATATCCTCTTGCAGATTTTACAAAAAGAGTGTTTCAAAACTACTCCATGAAAAGAATGGTTTAATACTGTTACTTGAGGGCGCACATCACAAATAAGTTTCTGAGAATGCTTCTGTCTAGTTTTCATGGGAAGATATTTCCTTTTTAACCATAGGCCTGAAAGCGCTCCAAATCTCCACATCCGGATACTACAAAAAGAGTGTTTCAAACCTGCTCTATGAAAGGGAATGTTCAACTCTGTGACTTGAATGCAAACATCACAAAGAAGTTTCTGGGAATGCTGCTGTCTGCTTTTTATATGTAATCCCGTTTCCAACGAAATCCTCAAAGCTAGACAAATATCCACTTGCAGATTCCACAAAAATAGTGTTTCAAAACTGCTCTCTCAAAAGAAAGGTTCAACTCTTTTAGCTGAGTAGATACATCATGAAAAAGTTTCTGACATTGCTTCTATCTAGCTTTTATTGGAAGATATTTCCTTTATCACCGTGTTCCTGAGATCTCTCCAAATGTCCACTTCCAGATACTACAAAAAGAGTGTTTCAAACCTGCTCTATGAAAGGGACTGTTCAACACTGTGACTTCAATTGAAACATCCCAATGAAGCTTCTGAGAATGCTTCTGTCTAGAGTTTATATGAAGACAATCCCGTTTCCAAAGAAATCCTCAATGCTATCCAAATATCCTCTTGCAGATATTACAAAAAGAGTGTTTCAAAACTGCTCTATCAAAAGAAAGGTTCAACACTGTTAGTTGAGGGCGCACATCACAAATAAGTTTCTGAGAATGCTTCTGTCTAGTTTTCAGGGGAAGATATTTCCTTTTTCACCTTATGCCTGAAAGCGCTGCAAATGTCCACATCCAGATACTACAAAAAGAGTGTTTCAAACCTGCTCTATGAAAGGGAATGTTCAACTCTGTGACTTGACTGCAAACATCACAAAGAAGTTTCTGGGAATGCTGCTGTCTGCTTTTTATATGTAATCCCGTTTCCAACGAAATCCTCAAAGCTAGAAAAATATCCACTTGCAGATTCCACAAAAAGAGTGTTTCAAAACTGCTCTCTCAAAAGAAAGGTTCAACTCTGTTAGCTGAGTAGATACATCATGAAAAAGTTTCTGACATTGCTTCTATCTAGCTTTTATTGGAAGATATTTCCTTTATCACCGGAGTCCTGAGAGGGCTCCAAATGTCCACTTCCAGATACTACAAAAAGAGTGTTTCAAACCTGCTCTATGAAAGGGACTGTTCAACACTGTGACTTCAATTGAAACATCCCAATGAAGCTTTTGAGAATGCTTCTGTCTAGAGTTTATATGAAGACAATCCCGTTTCCAACGAAATCCTCAGAGCTATCCAAATATCCTCTTGCAGATATTACAAAAAGAGTGTTTCAAAACTGCTCTATCAAAAGAAAGCTTCAACACTGTTAGTTGAGGGCGCACATCACAAATAAGTTTCTGAGAATGCTGCTGTCTGCTTTTTATATGTAATCCCGTTTCGAACGAAATCCTCAAAGCTAGACAAATATCCACTTGCAGATTCCACAAAAAGAGTGTTTCAAAACTGCTCTATCAAAAGAATGCTTCAACACTGTTAGTTGAGGGCGCACATCACAAATAAGTTTCTGAGAATGCTTCTGTCTAGTTTTCAGGGGAAGATACTTCCTTTTTCACCTTAGGCCTGAAAGCGCTGCAAATGTCCACATCCAGATACTACAAAAAGAGTGTTTCAAACCTGCTCTATGAAAGGGACTGTTCAACACTGTGACTTCAATTGAAACATCCCAATGAAGCTTCTGAGAATGCTTCTGTCTAGAGTTTATATGAAGACAATCCCGTTTCCAACGAAATCCTCAAAGCTATCCAAATATCCTCTTGCAGATTTAACAAAAAGAGTGTTTCAAAACTGCTCTATCAAAAGAAAGCTTCAACACTGTTAGTTGAGGGCGCACATCACAAATAAGATTCTGAGAATTCTTCTGTCTAGTTTTCAGGGGAAGAGATTTCCTTTTTCACCATAGGCCTCAAAGCGCTCAAAATGTCCACATCCAGGTACTACAAAAAGAGTGTTTCAAACCTGCTCTATGAAAGGGAATGTTCAACTCTGTGACTTGAATGCAAACATCACAAAGAAGTTACTGGGAATTCTGCTGTCTGCTTTTTATATGTAATCCCGTTTCCAACGAAATCCTCAAAGCTAGACAAATATCCACTTACAGATTCCACAAAAAGAGTGTTTCAAAACTGCTCTCTCAAAGGAAAGGTTCAACTCTGTTAGCTGAGTAGATACATCATGAAAAAGTTTCTGACATTTCTTCTATCTAGCTTTTATTGGAAGATATTTCCTTTTTCACCGCAGTCCTGAGAGCGTTCCAAATGTCCACTTCCAGATACTACAAAAAGAGTGTTTCAAACCTGCTCTATGAAAGGGACTGTTCAACACTGTGACTTCAATTGAAACATCCCAATGAAGCTTCTGAGAATGCTTCTGTCTAGATTCTATATGAAGACAATCCCGTTTCCAACGAAATCCTCAAAGCTATCCAAATATCCTCTTGCAGATTTTACAAAAAGAGTGTTTCAAAACTGCTCTATCAAAAGAAAAGTTCCACACTGTTAGTTGAGGGCGCACATCACAAATAAGTTTGCTGAGAATGCTGCTGTCTGCTTTTTATATGTAATCCCGTTTCCAACGAAATCCTCAAAGCTAGACAAATATCCACTTGCAGATTCCACAAAAAGAGTGTTTCAAAACTGCTCTATCAAAAGAATGCTTCAACACTGTTAGTTGAAGGCGCACATCACAAATAAGTTTCTGAGAATGCTTCTGTCTAGTTTTCAGGGGAAGATATTTCCTTTTAAACCATAGGCCTGAAAGCGCTCCAAATGTCCACATCCAGATACTACAAAAAGAGTGTTTCAAACCTGCTCTATGAAAGGGACTGTTCAACACTGTGACTTCAATTGAAACATCCCAATGACGCTTCTGAGAATGCTTCTGTCTAGAGTTTATATGAAGACAATCCCGTTTCCAACGAAATCCTCAAAGCTATCCAAATATACTCTTGCAGATATTACAAAAAGAGTGTTTCAAAACTGCTCTATCAAAAGAAAGGTTCAACACTGTTAGTTGAGGGCGCACATCACAAATAAGTTTCTGAGAATGCTTCTGTCTAGTTTTCAGGGGAAGATATTTCCTTTTTCACCATAGGCCTGAAAGCGCTCCAAATGTCCACATCCAGATACTACAAAAAGAGTGTTTCAAACCTGCTCTATGAAAGGGAATGTTCAACTCTGTGACTTGAATGCAAACATCACAAAGAAGATTCTGGGAATGCTGCTGTCTGCTTTTTATATGTAATCCCGTTTCCAACGAAATCCTCAAAGCTAGACAAATATCCAGTTGCCGATTCCACAAAAAGAGTGTTTCAAAACTGCTCTCTCAAAAGAAAGTTTCAACTCTGTTAGCTGAGTAGATACATCATGAAAAAGTTTCTGACATTGCTTCTATCTAGCTTTTATTGGAAGATATTTCCTTTATCACCGTATTCCTGAGACCTCTCCAAATGTCCAATTCCAGATACTACAAAAAGATTGTTTCAAACCTGCTCTATGAAAGGGAATGTTCAACTCTGTGACTTGAATGCAAACATCACAAAGAAATTTCTGGGAATGCTTCTGTCTAGAGTTTATAAGAAGACAATCCCGTTTCCAACGAAATCCTCAAAGCTATCAAAATATCCTCTTGCAGATTTTACGAAAAGAGTGTTTCAAAACTGCTCTATCAAAAGAAAGCTTCAACACTGTTAGTTGAGGGCGCACATCACAAATAAGATTCTGAGAATGCTTCTGTCTAGTTTTCAGGAGAAGATATTTCCTTTTTCACCATAGGCCTGAAAGCGCTCCAAATGTCCACATCCAGATACTATAAAAAGAGTGTTTCAAACCTGCTCTCTGAAAGGGAATGTTCAACTCTGTGACTTGAATGCAAACATGACAAACAAGATTCTGGGAATGCTGCTGTCTGCTTTTTATATGTAATCCCGTTTCCAACGAAATCCTCAAAGCTAGACAAATATCCACTTGCAGATTCCACCAAAAGAGTGTTTCAAAACTGCTCTCTCAAAAGAAAGGTTCAACTCTGTTAGCTGAGTAGATACATCATGAAAAAGTTTCTGACATTGCTTCTATCTAGCTTTTATTGGAAGATATTTCCTTTTTCACCGTAGTCCTGAGAGCGCTCCAAATGTCCACTTCCAGATAGTACAAAAAGAGTGTTTCAAACCTGCTCTATGAAAGGGACTGTTCAACACTGTGACTTCAATTGAAACATCCCAATGAAGCTTCTGAGAATGCTTCTGTCTAGAGTTTATATGAAGACAATCCCGTTTCCAACGAAATCCTCAAAGCTATCCAAATATCCTCTTGCAGATATTACAAAAAGAGTGTTTCAAAACTGCTCTATCAAAAGAAAGGTTCAACACTGTTAGTTGAGGGCGCACATCACAAATAAGTTTACTGAGAATGCTGCTGTCTGCTTTTTATATGTAATCCCGTTTCCAACGAAATCCTCAAAGCTAGACAAATATACACTTGCAGATTCCACAAAAAGAGTGTTTCAAAACTGCTGTATCAAAAGAAAGCTTCAACACTGTTAGTTGAGGGCGCACATCACAAATAAGTTTCTGAGAATGCTTCTGTCTAGTTTTCAGGGGAAGATATTTCCTTTTAAACCATAGGCCTGAAAGCGCTCCAAATGTCCACATCCAGATACTACAAAAAGAGTGTTTCAAACCTGCTCTATGAAAGGGACTGTTCAACACTGTGACTTCAATTGAAACATCCCAATGAAGCTTCTGAGAATGCTTCTGTCTAGATTCTGTATGAAGACAATCCCGTTTCCAACGAAATCCTCAAAACTATCCAAATATCCTCTTGCAGATTTTACAAAAAGAGTGTTTCAAAACTGCTCTATCAAAAGAAAGCTTCAACACTGTTAGTTGAGGGCGCACATCACAAATAAGATTCTGAGTATGCTTCTGTCTAGTTTTCAGTGGAAGATATTTCCTTTTTCACCATAGGCCTGAAAGCGCTCCAAATGTCCAAATCCAGATACTACAAAAAGCGCGTTTCAAACCTGCTCTATGAAAGGGAATGTTCAACTCTTTGACTTGAATGCAAACATCACAAAGAAGTTTCTGGGAATGCTGCTGTCTGCTTTTTATATGTAATCCCGTTTCCAACGAAATCCTCAAAGCTAGACAAATATCCACTTGCAGATTCCACAAAAAGAGTGTTTCAAAACTGCTCTGTCAAAAGAAAGGTTCAACTCTGTTAGCTGAGTAGATACATCATGAAAAAGTTTCTGACATTGCTTCTATCTAGCTTTTATTGGAAGATATTTCCTTTTTCACTGTAGTCCTGAGAACGCTCCAAATGTCCACTTCCAGATACTACAAAAAGAGTGTTTCAAATCTGCTCTATGAAAGGGACTGTTCAACACTGTGACTTCAATTGAAACATCCCAATGAAGCTTCTGAGAATGATTCTGTCTAGAGTTTATATGAAGACAATCCCGTTTCCAACGAAATCCTCAAAGCTATCCAAATATCCTCTTGCAGATATTACAAAAAGAGTGTTTCAAAACTGCTCTATCAAAAGAAAGGTTCAACACTGTTAGTTGAGGGCGCACATCACAAATAAGTTTACTGAGAATGCTGCTGTCTGCTTTTTATATGTAATCCCGTTTCCAACGAAATCCTCAAATCTAGACAAATATCCACTTGCAGATTCCACAAAAAGAGTGTTTCAAAACTGCTCTATCAAAAGAAAGCTTCAACACTGTTAGTTGAGGGCGCACATCACAAATAAGTTTCTGAGAATGCTTCTGTCTAGTTTTCAGGGGAAGATATTTCCTTTTAAACCATAGGCCTGAAAGCGCTCCAAATGTCCACATCCAGATACTACAAAAAGAGTGTTTCAAACCTGCTCTATGAAAGGGACTGTTCAACACTGCAACTTCAATTGAAACATCCCAATGAAGCTTCTGAGAATGCTACTGTCTAGGGTTAATATGAACACAATCCCGTTTCCAACGAAATCCTCAAAGCTATCCAAATATCCTCTTGCAGATTTTACAAAAAGAATGTTTCAAAACTGCTCTATCAAAAGAAAGCTTCAACACTGTTAGTTGAGGGCGCACATCACAAATAAGTTTCTGAGACTACTTCTGTCTAGTTTTCAGGGGAAGATATTTCCTTTTTCACCATAGGCCTGAAAGCGCTGCAAATGTCCACATCCAGATACTACAAAAAGAGTGTTTCAAACCTGCTCTATGAAAGGGAATGTTCAACTCTGTGACTTGAATGCAAACACCACAAAGAAGTTACTGGGAATGCTGCTGTCTGCTTTTTATATGTAATCCCGTTTCCAACGAAATCCTCAAAGCTAGACAAATATCCACTTGCAGATTCCACAAAAAGAGTGTTTCAAAACTGCTCTCTCAAAAGAAAGGTTCAACTCTGTTAGCTGAGTAGATACATCATGAAAAAGTTTCTGACATTGCTTCTATCTAGCTTTTATTGGAAGATATTTCCTTTTTCACCGTAGTCCTGAGAATGCTCCAAATGTCCACTTCCAGATACTACAAAAAGGGTGTTTCAAACATGCTCTATGAAAGGGACTGTTCAACACTGTGACTTCAATTGAAACATCCCAATGAAGCTTCTGAGAATGCTTCTGTCTAGATTTTATATGAAGACAATCCCGTTTCCAACGAAATCCTCAAAGCTATCCAAATATCCTCTTGCAGATTTTACAAAAAGAGTGTTTCAAAACTGCTCTATCAAAAGAAATGTTCAACACTGTTAGTTGAGGGCGCACATCACAAATAAGTTTCTGAGAATGCTTCTGTCTAGTTTTCAGGGGAAGATATTTCCTTTTTCACCATAGGCCTGAAAGCGCTCCAAATGTCCACATCCAGATACTACAAAAAGAGTGTTTCAAACCTGCTCTATGAAAGGGAATGTTCAAGTCTGTGACTTGAATGCAAATATCACACAGAAGTTTCTGGGAATGCTGCTGTCTGCTTTTTATATGTAATCCCGTTTCCAACGCAATCCTCAAAGCTAGACAAATATCCACTTGCAGATTCCACAAAAAGAGTGTTTCAAAACTGCTCTCTCAAAAGAAAGTTTCAACTCTGTTAGCTGAGTAGATACATCATGAAAAATTTTCTGACATTGCTTCTATCTAGCTTTTATTGGAAGATATTTCCTTTTTCACCGCAGTCCTGAGAGCGCTCCAAATGTCCACTTCCAGATACTACAAAAAGAGTGTTTCAAACCTGCTCTATGAAAGGGACTGTTCAACACTGTGACTTCAGTTGAAACATCCCAATGAAGCTTCTGAGAATGCTGCTGTCTGCTTTGTATAATTAATCCCGTTTCCAACGAAATCCTCAAAGCTATCCAAATATCCTCTTGCAGATATTACAAAAAGAGTGTTTCAAAACTGCTCTATCAAAAGAAAGCTTCAACACTGTTAGTTGAGGGCGCACATCACAAATAAGTTTCTGAGAATGCTGCTGTCTGCTTTTTATATGTAATCCCGTTTCCAACGAAATCCTCAAAGCTATCCAAATATCCTCTTGCAGATATTACAAAAAGAGTGTTTCAAAACTGCTCTATCAAAAGAAAGGTTCAACACTGTTAGTTGAGGGCGCACATCACAAATAAGTTTCTGAGAATGCTTCTGTCTAGTTTTCAGGGGAAGATATTTCCTTTTTCACCATAGGCCTGAAAGCGCTCGAAATGTCCACATCCAGATACTACAAAAAGAGTGTTTCAAACCTGCTCTATGAAAGGGACTGTTCAACACTGTGACTTCAATTGAAACATCCCAATGAAGCTTCTGAGAATGCTTCTGTCTAGAGTTTATATGAAGACAATCCCGTTTCCAACGAAATCCTCAAAGCTATCCAAATATCCTCTTGCAGATATTACAAAAAGAGTGTTTCAAAACTGCTCTATCAAAAGAAAGGTTCAACACTGTTAGTTGAGGGCGCACATCACAAATAAGTTTCTGAGAATGCTTCTGTCTAGTTTTCAGGGGAAGATATTTCCTTTTTCACCATAGGCCTGAAAGCGCTCCAAATGTCCACATCCAGATACTACAAAAAGAATGTTTCAAACCTGCTCTATGAAAGGGAATGTTCAACTCTGTGACTTGAATGCAAACATCACAAAGAAGTTTCTGGGAATGCTACTGTCTGCTTTTTATATGTAATCCCGTTTTCAACGAAATCCTCAAAGCTAGACAAATATCCACTTGCAGATTCCACCAAAAGTGGGTTTCAAAACTTCTCTCTCAAGAGAAAGGTTCAACTCTGTTAGCTGAGTAGATACATCATGAAAATGTTTCTGACATTGCTTCTATCTAGCTTTTATTGGAAGATATTTCCTTTTTCACCGTAGTCCTGAGAGCGCTCCAAATGTCCACTTCCAGATACTACAAAAAGAGTGTTTCAAACCTGCTCTATGAAAGGGACTGTTCAACACTGTGACTTCAATTGAAACATCCCAATGAAGCTTCTGAGAATGCTTCTGTCTAGAGTTTATATGAAGACAATCCCGTTTCCAACGAAATCCTCAAAGCTATCCAAATATCCTCTTGCAGATATTACAAAAAGAGTGTTTCAAAACTGCTCTATCAAAAGAAAGGTTCAACACTGTTAGTTGAGGGCGCACATCACAAATAAGTTTACTGAGAATGCTGCTGTCTGCTTTTTATAATTAATCCCGTTTCCAACGAAATCCTCAAAGCTATCCAAATATTCTCTTGCAGATATTACAAAAAGAGTGTTTCAAAACTGCTCTATCAAAAGAAAGCTTCAACACTGTTAGTTGAGGGCGCACATCACAAATAAGTTTCTGAGAATGCTTCTGTCTAGTTTTCAGGGGAAGATATTTCCTTTTAAACCATAGGCCTGAAAGCGCTCCAAATGTCCACATCCAGATACTACAAAAAGAGTGTTTCAAACCTGCTCTATGAAAGGGAGTGTTCAACACTGTGACTTCAATTGAAACATCCCAATGAAGCTTCTGAGAATGCTTCTTTCTAGAGTTTATATGAAGACAATCCCGTTTCCAACGAAATCCTCAAAGCTATCCAAATATTCTCTTGCAGATATTACAAAAAGAGTGTTTCAAAACTGCTCTATCAAAAGAAAGCTTCAACACTGTTAGTTGAGGGCGCACATCACAAATAAGTTTCTGAGAATGCTTCTGTCTAGTTTTCAGGGGAAGATATTTCCTTTTTCACCTTAGGCCTGAAAGCGCTGCAAATGTCCACATCCAGATACTACAAAAAGAGTGTTTCAAACCTGCTCTATGAAAGGGAATGTTCAACTCTGTGACGTGAATGCAAACATCACAAAGAAGTTTCTGGGAATGCTGCTGTCTGCTTTTTATATGTAATCCCGTTTCCAACGAAATCCTCAAAGCTAGACAAATATCCACTTGCAGATTCCACAAAAAGAGTGTTTCAAAACGGCTCTCTCAAAAGAAAGGTTCAACTCTGTTAGCTGAGTAGATACATCATGAAAAAGTTTCTGACATTGCTTTCTATCTAGCTTTTATTGGAAGATATTTCCTTTTTCACCGTAGTCCTGAGAGCGCTCCAAATGTCCACTTCCAGATACTACAAAAAGAGTGTTTCAAACCTGCTCTATGAAAGGAACTGTTCAACACTGTGACTTCAATTGAAACATCCCAATGAAGCTTCTGAGAATGCTTCTTTCTAGAGTTTATATGAAGACAATCCCGTTTCCAACGAAATCCTCAAAGCTATCCAAATATTCTCTTGCAGATATTACAAAAAGAGTGTTTCAAAACTGCTCTATCAAAATAAAGCTTCAACACTGTTAGTTGAGGGCGCACATCACAAATAAGTTTCTGAGAATGCTGCTGTCTGCTTTTTATATGTAATCCCGTTTCCAACGAAATCCTCAAAGCTAGACAAATATCCACGTGCAGATTCCACAAAAAGAGTGTTTCAAAACTGCTCTATCAAGAGAAAGCTTCAACACTGTTAGTTGAGGGCGCACATCACAAATAAGTTTCTGAGAATGCTTCTGTCTAGTTTTCAGGGGAAGATATTTCCTTTTAAACCATAGGCCTGAAAGCGCTCCAAATGTCCACATCCAGATACTACAAAAAGAGTGTTTCAAACCTGCTCTATGAAAGGGACTGTTCAACACTGTGACTTCAATTGAAACATCCCAATGACGCTTCTGAGAATGCTTCTGTCTAGAGTTTATATGAAGACAATCCCGTTTCCAACGAAATCCTCAAAGCTATCCAAATATCCTCTTGCAGATTTTACAAAAAGAGTGTTTCAAAACTGCTCTATCAAAAGAAAGCTTCAACACTGTTAGTTGAGGGCGCACATCACAAATAAGTTTCTGAGAATGCTTCTGTCTAGTTTTCAGGGGAAGATATTTCCTTTTTCACCTTAGGCCTGAAAGCGCTGCAAATGTCCACATCCAGATACTACAAAAAGAGTGTTTCAAACCTGCTCTATGAAAGGGAATGTTCAACTCTGTGACTTGAATGCAAACAACACAAAGAAGTTTCTGGGAATGCTGCTGTCTGCTTTTTATATGTAAGCCCGTTTCCAACGAAATCCTCAAAGCTAGACAAATATCCACTTGCAGATTCCACAAAAAGAGTGTTTCAAAACTGCTCTCTCAAAGGAAAGGTTCAACTCTGTTAGCTGAGTAGATACATCATGAAAAAGTTTCTGACATTGCTTCTATCTAGCTTTATTTGGAAGATATTTCCTTTTTCACCGTAGTCCTGAGAGCGCTCCAAATGTCCACTTCCAGATACTACAAAAAGATTGTTTCAAACATGCTCTATGAAAGGGACTGTTCAACACTGTGACTTCAATTGAAACATCCCAATGAAGCTTCTGAGAATGCTTCTTTCTAGAGTTTATATGAAGACAATCCCGTTTCCAACGAAATCCTCAAAGCTATCCAAATATTCTCTTGCAGATATTACAAAAAGAGTGTTTCAAAACTGCTCTATCAAAATAAAGCTTCAACACTGTTAGTTGAGGGCGCACATCACAAATAAGTTTCTGAGAATGCTGCTGTCTGCTTTTTATAATTAATCCCGTTTCCAACGAAATCCTCAAAGCTATCCAAATATCCTCTTGCAGATATTACAAAAAGAGTGTTTCAAAACTGCTCTATCAAAAGAAAGCTTCAACACTGTTAGTTGAGGGCGCACATCACAAATAAGTTTCTGAGAATGCTTCTGTCTAGTTTTCAGGGGAAGATATTTCCTTTTTCACCATAGGCCTGAAAGCGCTCCAAATGTCCACATCCAGATACTACAAAAAGAGTGTTTCAAACCTGCTCTATGAAAGGGACTGTTCAACACTGTGACTTCAATTGAAACATCCCAATGAAGCTTCTGAGAATGCTTCTGTCTAGATTCTATATGAAGACAATCCCGTTTCCAACGAAATCCTCAAAGCTATCCAAATATCCTCTTGCAGATTTTACAAAAAGAGTGTTTCAAAACTGCTCTATCAAAAGAAAGGTTCAACACTGTTAGTTGAGGGCGCACATCACAAATAAGTTTCTGAGAATGCTTCTGTCTAGTTTTCAGGGGAAGATATTTCCTTTTTCACCATAGGCCTGAAAGCGCTCCAAATGTCCACATACAGATACTACAAAAAGAGTGTTTCAAACCTGCTGTATGAAAGGGAATGTTCAACTCTGTGACTTGAATGCAAACATCACAAAGAAATTTCTGGGAATGCTGCTGTCTGCTTTTTATATGTAATCCCGTTTCCAACGAAATCCTCAAAGCTAGACAAATATCCACTTGCAGATTCCACAAAAAGAGTGTTTCAAAACTGCTCTCTCAAAAGAAAGGTTCAACTCTGTTAGCTGAGTAGATACATCATGAAAAAGTTTCTGACATTGCTTCTATGTAGCTTTTATTGGAAGATATTTCCTTTTTCACCGTAGTCCTGAGATCTCTCCAAATGTCCACTTCCAGATACTACAAAAAGAGTGTTTCAAACTTGCTCTATGAAAGGGACTGTTCAACACTGTGACTTCAATTGAAACATCCCAATGAAGCTTCTGAGAATGCTTCTGTCTAGAGTTTATATGAAGACAATCCCGTTTCCAACGAAATCCTCAAAGCTATCCAAATATCCTCTTGCAGATTTTAGAAAAAGAGTTTTTCAAAACTGCTCTATCAAAAGAAAGCTTCAACACTGTTAGTTGAGGGCGCACATCACAAATAAGTTTCTGAGAATGCTGCTGTCTGCTTTTTATATGTAATCCCGTTTCCAACGAAATCCTCAAAGCTAGACAAATATCCACTTGCAGATTCCACAAAATAGTGTTTCAAAACTGCTCTATCAAAAGAATGCTTCAACACTGTTAGTTGAAGGCGCACATCACAAATAAGTTTCTGAGAATGCTTCTGTCTAGTTTTCAGGGGAAGATATTTCCTTTTAAACCATAGGCCTGAAAGCGCTCCAAATGTCCACATCCAGATACTACAAAAAGAGTGTTTGAAACCTGCTCTATGAAAGGGACTGTTCAACACTGTGACTTCAATTGAAACATCCCAATGAAGCTTCTGAGAATGCTTCTGTCTAGAGTTTATATGAAGACAATCCCGTTTCCAACGAAATCCTCAAAGCTATCCAAATATCCTCTTGCAGATTTTACAAAAAGAGTGTTTCAAAACTGCTCTATCAAAAGAAAGCTTCAACACTGTTAGTTGAGGGCGCACATCACAAATAAGATTCTGAGAATGCTCTGTCTAGTTTTCAGGAGAAGATATTTCCTTTTTCACCATAGGCCTGAAAGCGCTCCAAATGTCCACATCCAGATACTACAAAAAGAGTGTTTCAAACCTGCTCTATGAAAGGGCATGTTCAACTCTGTGACTTGAATGCAAACATCACAAAGAAGTTACTGGGAATGCTGGCTGTCTGCTTTTTATATGTAACCCGTTTCCAACGAAATCCTCAAAGCTAGACAAATATCCACTTGCAGATTCCACAAAAAGAGTGTTTCAAAACTGCTCTCTCAAAGGAAGGTTCAACTCTGTTAGCTGAGTAGATACATCATGAAAAAGTTTCTGACATTGCTTCTATCTAGCTTTTATTGGAAGATATTTCCTTTTTCACCGCAGTCCTGAGAGCGTTCCAAATGTCCACTTCCAGATACTACAAAAAGAGTGTTTCAAACCTGCTCTATGAAAGGGACTGTTCAACACTGTGACTTCAATTGAAACATCCCAATGAAGCTTCTGAGAATGCTTATGTCTAGAGTTTATATGAAGACAATCCCGTTTCCAACGAAATCCTGAAAGCTATCCAAATATCCTCTTGCAGATATTACAAAAAGAGTGTTTCAAAACTGCTCTATCAAAAGAAAGCTTCAACACTGTTAGTTGAGGGCGCCCATCACAAATAAGTTTCGGAGAATGCTTAGCTGTCTGCTTTTTATATGTAATCCCGTTTCCAACGAAATCCTCAAAGCTAGACAAATATCCACTTGCAGATTCCACAAAAAGAGTGTTTCAAAACTGCTCTATCAAAAGAATGCTTCAACACTGTTAGTTGAGGGCGCACATCACAAATAAGTTTCTGAGAATGCTTCTGTCTAGTTTTCAGGGGAAGATATTTCCTTTTAAACCATAGGCCTGAAAGCGCTCCAAATGTCCACATCCAGATACTACAAAAAGAGTGTTTCAAACCTGCTCTATGAAAGGGACTGTTCAACACTGTGACTTCAATTGAAACATCCCAATGACGCTTCTGAGAATGCTTCTGTCTAGAGTTTATATGAAGACAATCCCGTTTCCAACGAAATCCTCAAAGCTATCCAAATATCCTCTTGCAGATTTTACGAAAAGCGTGTTTCAAAACTGCTCTATCAAAAGAAAGCTTCAACACTGTTAGTTGAGGGCGCACATCACAAATAAGATTCTGAGAATGCTTCTGTCTAGTTTTCAGGGGAAGATATTTCCTTTTTCACCATAGGCCTGAAAGCGCTCCAAATGTCCACATCCAGATACTACAAAAAGAGTGTTTCAAACCTGCTCTCTGAAAGGGAATATTCAACTCTGTGACTTGAATGCAAACATCACAAAGAAGTTTCTGGGAATGCTGCTGTCTGCTTTTTATATGTAATCCCGTTTCCAACGCAATCCTCAAAGCTAGACAAATATCCACTTGCAGATTCCACAAAAAGAGTGTTTCAAAACTGCTCTCTCAAAAGAAAGGTTCAACTCTGTTAGCTGAGTAGATAGATCATGAAAAAGTTTCTGACATTGCTTCTATCTAGCATTTATTGGAAGATATTTCCTTTATCACCGTATTCCTGAGATCTCTCCAAATGTCCACTTCCAGATACTACAAAAAGAGTGTTTCAAACCTGCTCTATGAAAGGGACTGTTCACCACTGTGACTTCAATTGAAACATCCCAATGAAGCTTCTGAGAATGCTTCTGTCTAGAGTTTATATGAAGACAATCCCGTTTCCAACGAAATCCTCAAAGCTATCCAAATATCCTCTTGCAGATTTTACGAAAAGAGTGTTTCAAAACTGCTCTATCAAAAGAAAGCTTCAACACTGTTAGTTGAGGGCGCACATCACAAATAAGATTCTGAGAATGCTTGCTGTCTGCTTTTTATATGTAATCCCGTTTCCAACGAAATCCTCAAAGCTATCCAAATATCCTCTTGCAGATATTACAAAAAGAGTGTTTCAAAACTGCTCTATCAAAAGAAAGGTTCAACACTGTTAGTTGAGGGCGCACATCACAAATAAGTTTCTGAGAATGCTTCTGTCTAGTTTTCAGGGGATGATATTTCCTTTTTCACCATAGGCCTGAAAGCGCTCCAAATGTCCACACCCAGATACTACAAAAAGAGTGTTTCAAACCTGCTCTTTGAAAGGGAATGTTCAACTCTGTGACTTGAATGCAAGCATCAGAAAGAAGTTACTGGGAATGCTTCTGTCTAGAGTTTATATGAAGACAATCCCGTTTCCAACGAAATCCTCAAAGCTATCAAAATATCCTCTTGCAGATTTTACGAAAAGAGTGTTTCAAAACTGCTCTATCAAAAGAAAGCTTCAACACTGTTAGTTGAGGGCGCTAATCACAAATAAGATTCTGAGAATGCTTCTGTCTAGTTTACAGGAGAAGATATTTCCTTTTTCACCATAGGCCTGAAAGCGCTCCAAATGTCCACATCCAGATACTATAAAAAGAGTGTTTCAAACCTGCTCTCTGAAAGGGAATGTTCAACTCTGTGACTTGAATGCAAACATCACAAACAAGATTCTGGGAATGCTGCTGTCTGCTTTTTATATGTAATCCCGTTTCCAACGAAATCCTCAAAGCTAAGCAAATATCCACTTGCAGATTCCACAAAAAGAGTGTTTCAAAACTGCTCTCTCAAAGGAAAGGTTCAACTCTGTTAGCTGAGTAGATACATCATGAAAAAGTTTCTGACATTGCTTCTATCTAGCTTTTATTGGAAGATATTTCCTTTTTCACCGTAGTCCTGAGAGCGCTCCAAATGTCCACTTCCAGATACTACAAAAAGAGTGTTTCAAACCTGCTCTATGAAAGGGACTGTTCAACACTGTGACTTCAATTGAAACATCCCAATGAAGCTTCTGAGAATGCTTCTGTCTAGAGTTTATATGAAGACAATCCCGTTTCCAACGAAATCCTCAAAGCTATCCAAATATCCTCTTGCAGATATTACAAAAAGAGTGTTTCAAAACTGCTCTATCAAAAGAAAGCTTCAACACTGTTAGTTGAGGGCGCACATCACAAATAAGTTTCTGAGAATGCTTCTGTCTAGTTTTCAGGGGAAGATATTTCCTTTTTCACCATAGGCCTGAAAGCGCTCCAAATGTCCACATACAGATACTACAAAAAGAGTGTTTCAAACCTGCTCTATGAAAGGGAATGTTCAACTCTGTGACTTCAATGCAAACTTCACAAAGAAGTTTCTGGGAATGCTGCTGTCTGCTTTTTATATGTAATCCCGTTTCAAACGAAATCCTCAAAGCTAGACAAATATCCACTTGCAGATTCCACAAAAAGAGTGTTTCAAAACTGCTCTCTCAAAAGAAAGGTTCAACTCTGTTAGCTGAGTAGATACGTCATGAAAAAGTTTCTGACATTGCTTCTATCTAGCTTTTATTGGAAGATATTTCCTTTTTCACCGCAGTCCTGAGAGCGCTCCAAATGTCCACTTCCAGATACTACAAAAAGAGTGTTTCAAACCTGCTCTATGAAAGGGACTGTTCAACACTGTGACTTCAATTGAAACATCCCAATGAAGCTTCTGAGAATGCTTCTGTCTAGAGTTTATATGAAGACAATCCCGTTTCCAACGAAATCCTCAAAGCTATCCAAATATCCTCTTGCAGATATTACAAAAAGAGTGTTTCAAAACTGCTCTATCAAAAGAAAGGTTCAACACTGTTAGTTGAGGGCGCACATCACAAATAAGTTTACTGAGAATGCTGCTGTCTGCTTTTTATATGTAATCCCGTTTCCAACGAAATCCTCAAAGCTAGACAAATATCCACTTGCAGATTCCACAAAAAGAGTGTTTCAAAACTGCTCTATCAAAAGAAAGCTTCAACACTGTTAGTTGAGGGCGCACATCACAAATAAGTTTCTGAGAATGCTTCTGTCTAGTTTTCAGGGGAAGATATTTCCTTTTTCACCATAGGCCTGAAAGCGCTCGAAATGTCCACATCCAGATACTACAAAAAGAGTGTTTCAAACCTGCTCTATGAAAGGGACTGTTCAACACTGTGACTTCAATTGAAACATCCCAATGAAGCTTCTGAGAATGCTTCTGTCTAGAGTTTATATGAAGACAATCCCGTTTCCAACGAAATCCTCAAAGCTAACCAAATGTCCTCTTGCAGATTTTACGAAAAGAGTGTTTCAAAACTGCTCTATCAAAAGAAAGCTTCAACACTGTTAGTTGAGGGTGCACATCACAAATAAGATTCTGAGAATGCTTCTGTCTAGTTTTCAGGGGAAGATATTTCCTTTTTCACCATAGGCCTGAAAGCGCTCCAAATGTCCACATACAGATACTACAAAAAGAGTGTTTCAAACCTGCTCTATGAAAGGGAATGTTCAACTCTGTGACTTGAATGCAAACTTCACAAAGAAGTTTCTGGGAATGCTTCTGTCTAGAGTTTATATGAAGACAATCCCGTTTCCAACGAAATCCTCAAAGCTAGACAAATATCCACTTGCAGATTCCACAAAAAGAGTGTTTCAAAACTGCTCTCTCAAAGGAAGGTTCAGTTCAACTCTGTTAGCTGAGTAGATACATCATGAAAAAGTTTCTGACATTGCTTCTATGCAGCTTTTATTGGAAGATATTTCCTTTTTCACCGCAGTCCTGAGAGCGTTCCAAATGTCCACTTCCAGATACTACAAAAAGAGTGTTTCAAACCTGCTCTATGAAAGGGACTGTTCAACACTGTGACTTCAATTGAAACATCCCAATGAAGCTGCTGAGAATGCTTCTGTCTAGAGTTTATATGAAGACAATCCCGTTTCCAACGAAATCCTCAAAGCTATCCAAATATCCTCTTGCAGATATTACAAAAAGAGTGTTTCAAAACTGCTCTATCAAAAGAAAGGTTCAACACTGTTAGTTGAGGGCGCACATCACAAATAAGTTTACTGAGAATGCTGCTGTCTGCTTTTTATATGTAATCCCGTTTCCAACGAAATCCTCAAAGCTAGACAAATATCCACTTGCAGATTCCACAAAAAGAGTGTTTCAAAACTGCTCTATCAAAAGAAAGCTTCAACACTGTTAGTTGAGGGCGCACATCACAAATAAGTTTCTGAGAATGCTTCTGTCCAGTTTTCAGGGGAAGATATTTCCTTTTAAACCATAGGCCTGAAAGCACTCCAAATCTCCACATCCAGATACTACAAAAAGAGTGTTTCAAACCTGCTCTATGAAAGGGACTGTTCAACACTGTGACTTCAATTGAAACATCCCAATGAAGCTTCTGAGAATGCTTCTGTCTAGAGTTTATATGAAGACAATCCCGCTTCCAACGAAATCCTCAAAGCTATCCAAATATCCTCTTGCAGATTTTACAAAAAGAGTGTATCAAAACTGCTCTATCAAAAGAAAGCTTCAACACTGTTAGTTGAGGGCGCACATCACAAATAAGATTCTGAGAATGCTTCTGTCTAGTTTTCAGGGGAAGATATTTCCTTTTTCACCTTAGGCCTGAAAGCGCTGCAAATGTCCACATCCAGATACTACAAAAAGAGTGTTTCAAACCTGCTCTATGAAAGGGAATGTTCAACTCTGTGACTTGAATGCAAACATCACAAAGAAGTTTCTGGGAATGCTGCTGTCTGCTTTTTATATGTAATCCCGTTTCCAACGAAATCCTCAAAGCTAGACAAATATCCACTTGCAGATTCCACGAAAAGAGTGTTTCAAAACTGCTCTCTCAAAGGAAGGTTCAACTCTGTTAGCTGAGTAGATACATCATGAAAAAGTTTCTGACATTGCTTCTATCTAGCTTTTATTGGAAGATATTTCCTTTTTCACCGCAGTCCTGAGAGCGCTCCAAATGTCCACTTCCAGATACTACAAAAAGAGTGTTTCAAACCTGCTCTATGAAAGGGACTGTTCAACACTGTGACTTCAACTGAAACATCCCAATGAAGCTTCTGAGAATGCTTCTGTCTAGTTTTCAGGGGAAGATATTTCCTTTTTCACCATAGGCCTGAAAGCGCTCCAAATGTCCACATCCAGATTCTATAAAAAGAGTGTTTCAAACCGGCTCTCTGAAAGGGAATGTTCAAGTCTGTGACTTGAATGCAAAAATCACAAACAAGATTCTGGGAATGCTGCTGTCTGCTTTTTATATGTAATCCCGTTTCCAACAATATCCTCAAAGCTAGAAAAATATCCTCTTGCAGATTCCACAAAAAGAGTGTTTCCAAACTGCTCTATCAAAAGAAAGCTTCAACACTGTTAGTTGAGGGCGCACATCACAAATAAGTTTCTGAGAATGCTTCTGTCTAGTTTTCAGGGGAAGATATTTCCTTTTTCACCATAGGCCTGAAAGCGCTCCAAATGTCCACATCCAGATACTACAAAAAGAGTGTTTCAAACCTGCTCTATGAAAGGGACTGTTCAACACTGTGACTTCAATTGAAACATCCCAATGAAGCTTCTGAGAATGCTTCTGTCTAGAGTTTATATGAAGACAATCCCGTTTCCAACGAAATCCTCAAAGCTATCCAAATATCCTCTTGCAGATTTTACAAAAAGAGTGTTTCAAAACTGCTCTATCAAAAGAAAGGTTCAACAGTGTTAGTTGAGGGCGCACATCACAAATAAGTTTCTGAGAATGCTTCTGTCTAGTTTTCAGGGGAAGATATTTCCTTTTTCACCATAGGCCTGAAAGCGCTCCAAATGTCCACATACAGATACTACAAAAAGAGTGTTTCAAACCTGCTCTATGAAAGGGAATGTTCAACTCTGTGACTTGAATGCAAACATCGCAAAGATGTTTGTGGGAATGCTGCTGTCTGCTTTTTATATGTAATCCCGTTTCCAACGAAATCCTCAAAACTAGACAAATATCCACTTGCAGATTCCACAAAAAGAGTGTTTCAAAACTGCTCTCTCAAAAGAAAGGTTCAACTCTGTTAGCTGAGTAGATACATCATGAAAAAGTTTCTGACATTGCTTCTACCTAGCTTTTATTGGAAGATATTTCCTTTTTCACTGTAGTCCTGAGAACGCTCCAAATGTCCACTTCCAGATACTACAAAAAAAGTTTTTGAAACCTGCTCTATCAAAGGGACTGTTCAACACTGTGACTTCAATTGAAACATCCCAATGAAGCTTCTGAGAATGCTTCTTTCTAGAGTTTATATGAAGACAATCCCGTTTCCAACGAAATCCTCAAAGCTATCCAAATATTCTCTTGCAGATATTACAAAAAGAGTGTTTCAAAACTGCTCTATCAAAATAAAGCTTCAACACTGTTAGTTGAGGGCGCACATCACAAATAAGTTTCTGAGAATGCTGCTGTCTGCTTTTTATATGTAATCCCGTTTCCAACGAAATCCTCAAAGCTAGACAAATATCCACTTGCAGATTCCACAAAAAGAGTGTTTCAAAACTGCTCTATCAAAAGAAAGCTTCAACACTGTTAGTTGAGGGCGCACATCACAAATAAGTTTCTGAGAATGCTTCTGTCTAGTTTTCAGGGGAAGATATTTCCTTTTAAACCATAGGCCTGAAAGCGCTCCAAATGTCCACATCCAGATACTACAAAAAGAGTGTTTCAAACCTGCTCTATGAAAGGGACTGTTCAACACTGTGACTTCAATTGAAACATCCCAATGAAGCTTCTGAGAATGCTTCTGTCTAGATTGTATATGAAGACAATCCCGTTTCCAACGAAATCCTCAAAGCTATCCAAATATCCTCTTGCAGATTTTACAAAAAGAGTGTTTCAAAACTGCTCTATCAAAAGAAAGCTTCAACACTGTTAGTTGAGGGCGCACATCACAAATAAGTTTCTGAGAATGCTTCTGTCTAGTTTTCAGGGGAAGATATTTCCTTTTTCACCATAGGCCTGAAAGCGCTCCAAATGTCCACATCCAGATACTACAAAAAGAGTGTTTCAAACCTGCTCTATGAAAGGGAATGTTCAACTCTGTGACTTGAATGCAAACATCACAAAGAAGATTCTGGGAATGCTGCTGTCTGCTTTTTATATGTAAACCCGTTTCCAACGAAATCCTCAAAGCTAGACAAATATCCACTTGCAGATTCCACAAAAAGAGTGTTTCAAAACTTCTCTCTCAAAAGAAAGGTTCAACTCTGTTAGCTGAGTAGATACATCATGAAAAAGTTTCTGACATTGCTTCTATCTAGCTTTTATTGGAAGATATTTCCTTTTTCACTGTAGTGCTGAGAACGCTCCAAATGTCCACTTCCAGATACTACAAAAAGAGTGTTTCAAATCTGCTCTATGAAAGGGACTGTTCAACACTGTGACTTCAATTGAAACATCCCAATGAAGCTTCTGAGAATGATTCTGTCTAGATTCTATATGAAGACAATCCCGTTTCCAACGAAATCCTCAAAGCTATCCAAATATCCTCTTGCGGATTTTACAAAAAGAGTGTTTCAAACCTGCTCTATGAAAGTGACTGTTCAGCACTGTGACTTCAATTGAAACATCCCAAAGAACCTTCTGAGAATGCTGCTGTCTGCTTTTTATATGTAATCCCGTTTCCAACGAAATCCTCAAAGCTAGACAAATATCCACTTGCAGATTCCACAAAAAGAGTTTTTCAAAACTGCTCTATCAAAAGAAAGCTTCAACACTGTTAGTTGAGGGCGCACATCACAAATAAGTTTCTGAGAATGCTTCTGTCTAGTTTTCAGGGGAAGATATTTCCTTTTTCACCTTAGGCCTGAAAGCGCTGTAAATGTCCACATCCAGATACTACAAAAAGAGTGTTTCAAACCTGCTCTATGAAAGGGAATGTTCAACTCTGTGACTTGAATGCAAACATCACAAAGAAGTTCCTGGGAATGCTTCTGTCTAGAGTTTATATGAAGACAATCCCGTTTCCAACGAAATCCTCAAAGCTATCCAAATATCCTCTTGCAGATATTACAAAAAGAGTGTTTCAAAACTGCTCTATCAAAAGAAAGCTTCAACACTGTTAGTTGAGGGCGCACATCACAAATAAGTTTCTGAGAATGCTTCTGTCTAGTTTTCAGGGGAAGATATTTCCTTTTTCACCATAGGCCTCAAAGCGCTGCAAATGTCCACATCCAGATACTACAAAAAGAGTGTTTCAAACCTGCTCTATAAAAGGGAATGTTCAACTGTGTGACTTGAATGCAAACATCACAAAGAAGTTTCTGGGAATGCTGCTGTCTGCTTTTTATATGTAATCCCGTTTCCAACGAAATCCTCAAAGCTAGACAAACATCCACTTGCAGATTCCACAAAAAGAGTGTTTCAAAACTGCTCTCTCAAAAAAAAGGTTCAACTCTGTTAGCTGCGTAGATACATCATGAAAAAGTTTCTGACATTGCTTCTATCTAGCTTTTATTGGAAGATATTTCCTTTTTCACCGTAGTCCTGAGAACGCTCCAAATGTCCACTTCCAGATACTACAAAAAGAGTGTTTCAAACCTGCTCTATGAAAGGGACTGTTCAACACTGTGACTTCAATTGAAACATCCCAATGAAGCTTCTGAGAATGCTTCTGTCTAGATTCTATATGAAGACAATCCCGTTTCCAACGAAATCCTCAAAACTATCCAAATATCCTATTGCAGATTTTACAAAAAGAGTGTTTCAAAACTGCTCTTTCAAAAGAAAGGTTCAACACTGTTAGTTGAGGGCGCACATCACAAATAAGTTTCTGAGAATGCTTCTGCCTAGTTTTCAGGGGAAGATATTTCCTTTTTCATCATAGGCCTGAAAGCGCTCCAAATGTCCACATCCAGATACTACAAAAAGAGTGTTTCAAACCTGCTCTATGAAAGGGAATGTTCAAGTCCGTGACTTGAATGCAAATTTCACAAAGTACTTTCTGGGAATGCTTCTGTCTAGTTTTCAGGGGAAGATATTTCCTTTTTCACCATAGGCCTGAAAGCGCTCCAAATGTCCACATCCAGATACTACAAAAAGAGTGTTTCAAACCTGCTCTATGAAAGGGACTGTTCAACACTGTGACTTCAATTGAAACATCCCAATGAAGCATCTGAGAATGCTTCTGTCTAGAGTTTATATGAAGACAATCCCGTTTCCAACGAAATCCTCAAAGCTATCAAAATATCCTCTTGCAGATATTACGAAAAGAGTGTTTCAAAACTGCTCTATCAAAAGAAAGCTTCAACACTGTTAGTTGAGGGGGCACATCACAAATAAGATTCTGAGAATGCTTCTGTCTAGTTTTCAGGAGAAGATATTTCCTTTTTCACCATAGGCCTGAAAGCGCTCCAAATGTCCACATCCAGATACTATAAAAAGAGTGTTTCAAACCTGCTCTCTGAAAGGGAATGTTTAACTCTGTGACTTGAATGCAAACATCACAAACAAGATTCTGGGAATGCTGCTGTCTGCTTTTTATATGTAATCCCGTTTCCAACGAAATCCTCAAAGCTAGACAAATATCCACTTGCAGATTCCACAAAACGAGTGTTTCAAAACTGCTCTCTCAAAGGAAGGTTCAACTCTGTTAGCTGAGTAGATACATCATGAAAAAGTTTCTGACATTGCTTCTATCTAGCTTTTATTGGAAGATATTTCGTTTTTCAACGCAGTCCTGAGAGCGTTCCAAATGTCCACTTCCAGATACTACAAAAAGAGTATTTCAAACCTGCTCTATGAAAGGGACTGTTCAACACTGTGACTTCAATTGAAACATCCCAATGAAGCTTCTGGGAATGCTTCTGTCTAGTTTTCAGGAGAAGATATTTCCTTTTTCACCATAGGCCTGAAAGCGCTCCAAATGTCCACATCCAGATACTATAAAAAGAGTGTTTCAAACCTGCTCTCTGAAAGGGAATGTTGAACTCTGTGACTTGAATGCAAACATCACAAACAAGATTCTGGGAATGCTGCTGTCTGCTTTTTATATGTAATCCCGTTTCCAACGAAATCCTCAAAGCTAGACAAATATACACTTGCAGATTCCACAAAAAGAGTGTTTCAAAACTGCTGTATCAAAAGAAAGCTTCAACACTGTTAGTTGAGGGCGCACATCACAAATAAGTTTCTGAGAATGCTTCTGTCTAGTTTTCAGGGGAAGATATTTCCTTTTTCACCATAGGCCTGAAAGCGCTCGAAATGTCCACATCCAGATACTACAAAAAGAGTGTTTCAAACCTGCTCTATGAAAGGGACTGTTCAACACTGTGACTTCAATTGAAACATCCCAATGAAGCTTCTGAGAATGCTTCTGTCTAGAGTTTATATGAAGACAATCCCGTTTCCCAACGAAATCCTCAAAGCTATCAAAATATCCTCTTGCAGATTTTACGAAAAGAGTGTTTCAAAACTGCTCTATCAAAAGAAAGCTTCAACACTGTTAGTTGAGGGCGCACATCACAGATAAGATTCTGAGAATGCTTCTGTCTAGTTTTCAGGGGAAGATATTTCCTTTTTCACCATAGGCCTGAAAGCGCTCCAAATGTCCACATAGAGATACTACAAAAAGAGTGTTTCAAACCTGCTCTATGAAAGGGAATGTTCAACTCTGTGACTTGAATGCAAACATCACCAAGAAGTTTCTGGGAATGCTGCTGTCTGCTTTTTATATGTAATCCCGTTTCCAACGAAATCCTCAAACCTAGACAAATATCCACCTGCAGATCGAACAAAAAGAGTGTTTCAAAACTGCTCTCTCAAAAAAAAGGTTCAACTCTGTTAGCTGAGTAGATACATCATGAAAAAGTTTCTGACATTGCTTCTATGTAGCTTTTATTGGAAGATATTTCCTTTTTCACCGCAGTCCTGAGAGCGCTCCAAATGTCCACTTCCAGATACTACAAAAAGAGTGTTTCAAACCTGTTCTATGAAAGGAACTGTTCAACACTGTGACTTCAATTGAAACATCCCAATGAAGCTTCTGAGAATGCTGCTGTCTGCTTTGTATAATTAATCCCGTTTCCAACGAAATCCTCAAAGCTATCCAAATATCCTCTTGCAGATATTACAAAAAGAGTGTTTCAAAACTGCTCTATCAAAAGAAAGCTTCAACACTGTTAGTTGAGGGCGCACATCACAAATAAGTTTCTGAGAATGCTGCTGTCTGCTTTTTATATGTAATCCCGTTAACAACGAAATCCTCAAAGCTAGACAAATATCCACTTGCAGATTCCACAAAAAGAGTGTTTCAAAACTGCTCTATCAAAAGAATGCTTCAACACTGTTAGTTGAGGGCGCACATCACAAATAAGTTTCTGAGAATGCTTCTGTCTAGTTTTCAGGGGAAGATATTTCCTTTTAAACCATAGGCCTGAAAGCGCTCCAAATGTCCACATCCAGATACTACAAGAAGAGTGTTTCAAACCTGCTCTATGAAAGGGACTGTTCAACACTGTGACTTCAATTGAAACATCCCAATGAAGCTTCTGAGAATGCTTCTGTCTAGAGTTTATATGAAGACAATCCCGTTTCCAACGAAATCCTCAAAGCTATCCAAATATCCTCTTGCAGATTTTACAAAAAGAGTGTTTCAAAACTGCTCTATCAAAAGAAAGCTTCAACACTGTTAGTTGAGGGCGCACATCACAAATAAGATTCTGAGAATGCTTCTGTCTAGTTTTCAGGGGAAGATATTTCCTTTTTCACCGTAGGCCTGAAAGCGCTCCAAATGTCCACATCCAGATACTACAAAAAGAGTGTTTCAAACCTGCTCTATGAAAGGGAATGTTCAACTCTGTGACTTGAATGCAAACATCACAAAGAAGATTCTGGGAATGCTGCTGTCTGCTTTATATATGTAATCCCGTTTCCAACGAAATCCTCAAAGCTAGACAAGTATCCACTTGCAGATTCCACAAAAAGAGTGTTTCAAAACTGCTCTCTCAAAAGAAAGGTTCAACTCTGTTAGCTGAGTAGATACATCATGAAAAAGTTTCTGACATTGCTTTCTATCTAGCTTTTATTGGAAGATATTTCCTTTTCCACTGTAGTCCTGAGAACGCTCCAAATGTCCACTTCCAGATACTACAAAAAGAGTGTTTCAAACCTGCTCTATGAAAGGGACTGTTCAACACTGTGACTTCAATTGAAACATCCCAATGAAGCTTCTGAGAATGCTTCTGTCTAGAGTTTATATGAAGACAATCCCGTTTCCAACGAAATCCTCAAAGCTATCCAAATATCCTCTTGCAGATATTACAAAAAGAGTGTTTCAAAACTGCTCTATCAAAAGAAAGGTTCAACACTGTTAGTTGAGGGCGCACATCACAAATAAGTTTACTGAGAATGCTGCTGTCTGCTTCTTATATGTAATCCCGTTTCCAACGATATCCTCAAAGCTAGACAAATATCCACTTGCAGATACCACAAAAAGAGTGTTTCAAAACTGCTCTATCAAAAGAAAGCTTCAACACTGTTAGTTGAGGGGGCACATCACAAATAAGTTTCTGAGAATGCTTCTGTCTAGTTTTCAGGGGAAGATATTTCCTTTTAAACCATAGGCCTGAAAGCGCTCCAAATGTCCACATCCAGATACTACAAAAAGAGTGTTTCAAACCTGCTCTATGAAAGGGACTGTTCAACACTGTGACTTCAATTGAAACATCCCAATGAAGCTTCTGAGAATGCTTCTGTCTAGAGTTTATATGAAGACAATCCCATTTCCAACGAAATCCTCAAAGCTATCCAAATATACTCTTGCAGATATTACAAAAAGAGTGTTTCAAAACTGCTCTATCAAAAGAAAGGTTCAACACTGTTAGTTGAGGGCGCACATCACAAATAAGTTTCTGAGAATGCTTCTATGTAGCTTTTATTGGAAGATATTTCCTTTTTCACCATAGGCCTGAAAGCGCTCCAAATGTCCACATCCAGATACTACAAAAAAAGTGTTTCAAACCTGCTCTATGAAAGGGAATGTTCAACTCTGTGACTTGAATGCAAACATCACAAAGAAGTTACTGGGAATGCTGCTGTCTGCTTTTTATATGTAATCCCGTTTCCAACGAAATCCTCAAAGCTAGACAAATATCCACTTGCAGATTCCACAAAAAGAGTGTTTCAAAACTGCTCTCTCAAAAGAAAGGTTCAACTCTGTTAGCTGAGTAGATACATCATGAAAAAGTTTCTGACATTGCTTCTATCTAGCTTTTATTGGAAGATAATTCCTTTATCACCGTATTCCTGAGATCTCTCCAAATGTCCACTTCCAGATACTACAAAAAGAGTGTTTCAAACCTGCTCTATGAAAGGGACTGTTCAACACTGTGACTTCAATTGAAACATCCCAATGAAGCTTCTGAGAATGCTGCTGTCTGCTTTGTATAATTAATCCCGTTTCCAACGAAATCCTCAAAGCTATCCAAATATCCTCTTGCAGATATTACAAAAAGAGTGTTTCAAAACTGCTCTATCAAAAGAAAGCTTCAACACTGTTAGTTGAGGGCGCACATCACAAATAAGTTTCTGAGAATGCTGCTGTCTGCTTTTTATATGTAATCCCGTTTCCAACGAAATCCTCAAAGCTAGACAAATATCCACTTGCAGATTCCACAAAAAGAGTGTTTCAAAACTGCTCTATCAAAAGAAAGCTTCAACACTGTTAGTTGAGGGGGCACATCACAAATAAGTTTCTGAGAATGCTTCTGTCTAGTTTTCAGGGGAAGATATTTCCTTTTTTACCATAGGCCTGAAAGCGCTCCAAATGTCCACATCCAGATACTACAAAAAGAGTGTTTCAAACCTGCTCTATGAATGGGACTGTTCAACACTGTGACTTCAATTGAAACATCCCAATGAAGCATCTGAGAATGCTACTGTCTAGGGTTAATATGAAGACAATCACGTTTCCAACGAAATCCTCAAAGCTATCCAAGTATCCTCTTGCAGATTTTACAAAAAGAATGTTTCAAAACTGCTATATCAAAAGAAAACTTCAACACTGTTAGTTAAGGGCGCACATCACAAATAAGTTTCTGAGAATACTTCTGTCTAGTTTTCAGGGGAAGATATTTCCTTTTTCACCATAGGCCTGAAAGCGCTCCAAATGTCCACATCCAGATACTACAAAAAGACTGTTTCAAACCTGCTCTATGAAAGGGAATGTTCAACTCTGTGACTTGAATGCAAACATCACAAAGAAGTTTACTGGGAATGCTGCTGTCTGCTTTTTATATGTAATCCCGTTTCCAACGAAATCCTCAAAGCTAGACAAATATCCACTTCCAGATTCCACAAAAAGAGTGTTTCAAAACTGCTCTCTCAAAAGAAAGGTTCAACTCTGTTAGCTGAGTAGATACATCATGAAAAAGTATCTGACATTGCTTCTATGTAGCTTTTATTGGAAGATATTTCCTTTTTCACCATAGTCCTGAGAGCGCTCCAAATGTCCACTTCCAGATACTACAAAAAGAGTGTTTCAAACCTGTTCTATGAAAGGAACTGTTCAACACTGTGACTTCAATTGAAACATCCCAATGAAGCTTCTGAGAATGCTTCTGTCTAGAGTTTATATGAAGACAATCCCGTTTCCAACGAAATCCTCAAAGCTATCCAAATATCCTCTTGCAGATATTACAAAAAGAGTGTTTCAAAACTGCTCTATCAAAAGAAAGGTTCAACACTGTTAGTTGAGGGCGCACATCACAAATAAGTTTACTGAGAATGCTGCTGTCTGCTTTTTATATGTAATCCCGTTTCCAACGAAATCCTCAAAGCTAGACAAATATCCACTTGCAGATTCCACAAAAAGAGTGTTTCAAAACTGCTCTATCAAAAGAAAGCTTCAACACTGTTAGTTGAGGGCGCACATCACAAATAAGTTTCTGAGAATGCTTCTCTCTAGTTTTCAGGGGAAGATATTTCCTTTTTCACCATAGGCCTGAAAGCGCTCCAAATGTCCACATCCAGATACTACAAAAAGAGTGTTTCAAACCTGCTCTATGAAAGGGACTGTTCAACACTGTGACTTCAATTGAAACATCCCAATGAAGCTTCTGAGAATGCTTCTGTCTAGAGTTTATATGAAGACAATCCCGTTTCCAACGAAATCCTCAAAGCTATCCAAATATCCTCTTGCAGATATTACAAAAAGAGTGTTTCAAAACTGCTCTATCAAAAGAAAGCTTCAACACTGTTAGTTGAGGGCGCACATCACAAATAAGTTTCTGAGAATGCTTCTGTCTAGTTTTCAGGGGAAGATATTTCCTTTTTCACCTTAGGCCTGAATGCGCTGCAAATGTCCACATCCAGATACTACAAAAAGAGTGTTTCAAACCTGCTCTATGAAAGGGAATGTTCAACTCTGTGACTTGAATGCAAACATCACAAAGAAGTTTCTGGGAATGCTGCTGTCTGCTTTTTATATGTAATCCCTTTTCCAACGAAATCCTCAAAGCTAGACAAATATCCACTTGCAGATTCCACAAAAAGAGTGTTTGAAAACTGCTCTCTCAAAAGAAAGGTTCAACTCTGTTAGCTGAGTAGATACATCATGAAAAAGTTTCTGACATTGCTTCTATCTAGCTTTTATTGGAAGATATTTCCTTTTTCACCGCAGTCCTGAGAGCGTTCCAAATGTCCACTTCCAGATACTACAAAAAGAGTGTTTCAAACCTGCTCTATGAAAGGGACTGTTCAACACTGTGACTTCAATTGAAACATCCCAATGAAGCTTCTGAGAATGCTTCTGTCTAGTTTTCAGGGGAAGATATTTCCTTTTTCACCATAGGCCTGAAAGCGCTCCAAATGTCCACATCCAGATACTACAAAAAGAGTGTTTCAAACCTGCTCTATGAAAGGGAATGTTTAACACTGTGACTTGAATGCAAACATCACAAAGAAGTTTCTGGGAATGCTGCTGTCTGCTTTTTATGTGTAATCCCGTTTCCAACGAAATCCTCAAAGCTAGACAAATATCTACTTGCAGATTCCACAAAAAGAGTATTTCAAAACTGCTCTATCAAAAGAATGCTTCAACACTGTTAGTTGAGGGCGCACATCACAAATAAGTTTCTGAGAATGCTTCTGTCTAGTTTTCAGGGGAAGATATTTCCTTTTTCACCATAGGCCTGAAAGCGCTCCAAATGTCCACATCCAGATACTACAAAAAGAGTGTTTCAAACCTGCTCTATGAAAGGGACTGTTCAACACTGTGACTTCAATTGAAACATCCCAATGAAGCTTCTGAGAATGCTTCTGTCTAGAGTTTATATGAAGACAATCCCGTTTCCAACGAAATCCTCAATGCTATCCAAATATCCTCTTGCAGATTTTACAAAAAGAGTGTTTCAAAACTGCTCTATCAAAAGAAAGCTTCAACACTGTTAGTTGAGGGCGCACATCACAAATAAGATTCTGAGAATGCTTCTGTCTAGTTTTCAGGAGAAGATATTTCCTTTTTCACCATAGGCCTGAAAGCGCTCAAAATGTCCACATCCAGATACTATAAAAAGAGTGTTTCAAACCTGCTCTCTGAAAGGGAATGTTCAACTCTGTGACTTGAATGCAAACATCACAAACAAGATTCTGGGAATGCTGCTGTCTGCTTTTTATATGTAATCCCGTTTCCAACGAAATCCTCAAAGCTAAGCAAATATCCACTTGCAGATTCCACAAAAAGAGTGTTTCAAAACTGCTCTCTCAAAAGAAAGGTTCAACTCTGTTAGCTGAGTAGATACATCATGAAAAAGTTTCTGACATTGCTTCTATGTAGCTTTTATTGGAAGATATTTCCTTTTTCACCGTAGCCCTGAGAGCGCTCCAAATGTCCACTTCCAGATACTACAAAAAGAGTGTTTCAAACCTGTTCTATGAAAGGAACTGTTCAACACTGTGACTTCAATTGAAACATCCCAATGAAGCTTCTGAGAATGCTTCTGTCTAGATTCTATATGAAGACAATCCCGTTTCCAACGAAATCCTCAAAGCTATCCAAATATCCTCTTGCAGATTTTACAAAAAGAGTGTTTCAAAACTGCTCTATCAAAAGAAAAGTTCCACACTGTTAGTTGAGGGCGCACATCACAAATAAGTTTGCTGAGAATGCTGCTGTCTGCTTTTTATATGTAATCCCGTTTCCAACGAAATCCTCAAAGCTAGACAAATATCCACTTGCAGATTCCACAAAAAGAGTGTTTCAAAACTGCTCTATCAAAAGAAAGCTTCAACACTGTTAGTTGAGGGCGCACATCACAAATAAGTTTCTGAGAATGCTTCTGTCTAGTTTTCAGGGGAAGATATTTCCTTTTTCACCATAGGCCTGAAAGCGCTCCAAATGTCCACATCCAGATACTACAAAAAGAGTGTTTCAAACCTGCTCTATGAAAGGGACTGTTCAACACTGTGACTTCAATTGAAACATCCCAATGAAGCTTCTGAGAATGCTTCTGTCTAGAGTTTATATGAAGACAATCCCGTTTCCAACGAAAATCCTGAAAGCTATCCAAATATCCTCTTGCAGATATTACAAAAAGAGTGTTTCAAAACTGCTCTATCAAAAGAAAGCTTCAACACTGTTAGTTGAGGGCGCACATCACAAATAAGTTTCTGAGAATGCTTCTGAGTTGTTTTCAGGAGAAGATATTTCCTTTTTCACCATAGGCCTGAAAGCGCTCCAAATGTCCACATCCAGATACTATAAAAAGAGTGTTTCAAACCTGCTCTATGAAACGGAATGTTCAACTCTGGGACTTGAATGCAAACATCACAAAGAAGATTCTGGGAATGCTGCTGTCTGCTTTTTATATGTAATCCCGTTTCCAACGAAATCCTCAAAGCTAGACAAATATCCACTTGCAGATTCCACAAAACGAGTGTTTCAAAACTGCTCTCTCAAATGAAGGTTCAACTCTGTTAGCTGAGTAGATACATCATGAAAAAGTTTCTGACATTGCTTCTATCTAGCTTTTATTGGAAGATACTTCCTTTTTCACCGCAGTCCTGAGAGCGCTCCAAATGTCCACTTCCAGATACTACAAAAAGAGTGTTTCAAACCTGCTCTATGAAAGGGACTGTTCAACACTGTGACTTCAATTGAAACATCCCAATGAAGCTTCTGAGAATGCTTCTGTCTAGATTCTATATGAAGACAATCCCGTTTCCAACGAAATCCTCAAAGCTATCCAAATATCCTCTTGCAGATTTTACAAAAAGAGTGTTTCAAAACTGCTCTATCAAAAGAAAAGTTCCACACTGTTAGTTGAGGGCGCACATCACAAATAAGTTTGCTGAGAATGCTGCTGTCTGCTTTTTATATGTAATCCCGTTTCCAACGAAATCCTCAAAGCTATCCAAATATCCTCTTGCAGATATTACAAAAAGAGTGTTTCAAAACTGCTCTATCAAAAGAAAGGTTCAACACTGTTAGTTGAGGGCGCACATCACAAATAAGTTTCTGAGAATGCTTCTGTCTAGTTTTCAGGGGAAGATATTTCCTTTTTCACCATAGGCCTGAAAGCGCTCCAAATGTCCACATCCAGATACTACAAAAAGAGTGTTTCAAACCTGCTGTATGAAAGGGAATGTTCAACTCTGTGACTTGAATGCAAACATCACAAAGAAGTTACTGGGAATGCTGCTGTCTGCTTTTTATATGTAATCCCGTTTCCAACGAAATCCTCAATGCTAGACAAATATCCACTTGCAGATTCCACAAAAAGAGTGTTTCAAAACTGCTCTCTCAAAAGAAAGGTTCAACTCTGTTAGCTGAGTAGATACATCATGAAAAAGTTTCTGACATTGCTTCTATCTAGCTTTTATTGGAAGATATTTCCTTTTTCACCGTAGTCCTGAGAGCGCTCCAAATGTCCACTTCCAGATGCTACAAAAAGAGTGTTTCAAACCTGCTCTATGAAAGGGACTGTTCAACACTGTGACTTCAATTGAAACATCCCAATGAAGCTTCTCAGAATGCTTCTGTCTAGAGTTTATATGAAGACAATCCCGTTTCCAACGAAATCCTCAAAGCTATCCAAATATCCTCTTGCAGATATTACAAAAAGAGTGTTTCAAAACTGCTCTATCAAAAGAAAGGTTCAACACTGTTAGTTGAGGGCGCACATCACAAATAAGTTTACTGAGAATGCTGCTGTCTGCTTTTTATAATTAATCCCGTTTCCAACGAAATCCTCAAAGCTATCCAAATATCCTCTTGCAGATATTACAAAAAGAGTGTTTCAAAACTGCTCTATCAAAAGAAAGCTTCAACACTGTTAGTTGAGGGCGCACATCACAAATAAGTTTCTGAGAATGCTTCTGTCTAGTTTTCAGGGGAAGATATTTCCTTTTAAACCATAGGCCTGAAAGGCTCCAAATGTCCACATCCAGATACTACAAAAAGAGTGTTTCAAACCTGCTCTATGAAAGGGACTGTTCAACACTGTGACTTCAATTGAAACATCCCAATGAAGCTTCTGAGAATGCTTCTGTCTAGATTTTATATGAAGACAATCCCGTTTCCAAAGAAATCCTCAAAACTATCCAAATATCCTCTTGCAGATTTTACAAAGAGTGTTTCAAAACTACTCTATCAAAAGAAAGGTTTAACACTGTTAGTTGAGGGCGCACATCACAAATAAGTTTCTGAGAATGCTTCTGTCTAGTTTTCAGGGGAAGATATTTCCTTTTTCACCATAGGCCTGAAAGCGCTCCAAATGTCCACATCCAGATACTACAAAAAGAGTGTTTCAAACCTGCTCTATAAAAGGGAATGTTCAACTCTGTGACTTGAATGCAAACATCACAAAGAAGTTTACTGGGAATGCTGCTGTCTGCTTTTTATATGTAATCCCGTTTCCAACGAAATCCTCAAAGCTAGACAAATATCCACTTGCAGATTCCACAAAAATAGTGTTTCAAAACTGCTCTCTCAAAGGAATGGTTCAACTCTTTTAGCTGAGTAGATACATCAGGAAAAAGTTTCTGATATTGCTTCTATCTAGCTTTTATTGGAAGATATTTCCTTTTTCACCGCAGTCCTGAGAGCGCTCCAAATGTCCACTTCCAGATACTACAAAAAGAGTGTTTCAAACCTGCTCTATGAAAGGGACTGTTCAACACTGTGACTTCAATTGAAACATCCCAATGAAGCTTCTGAGAATGCTGCTGTCTGCTTTGTATAATTAATCCCGTTTCCAACGAAATCCTCAAAGCTATCCAAATATCCTCTTGCAGATATTACAAAAAGAGTGTTTCAAAACTGCTCTATCAAAAGAAAGCTTCAACACTGTTAGTTGAGGGCGCACATCACAAATAAGTTTCTGAGAATGCTGCAGTCTGCTTTTTATATGTAATCCCGTTTCCAACGAAATCCTCAAAGCTACACAAATATCCACTTGCAGATTCCACAAAAAGAGTGTTTCAAAACTGCTCTATCAAAAGAATGCTTCAACACTGTTAGTTGAGGGCGCACATCACAAATAAGTTTCTGAGAATGCTTCTGTCTAGTTTTCAGGGGAAGATATTTCCTTTTTCACCATAGGCCTGAAAGCGCTCCAAATGTCCACATCCAGATACTACAAAAAGAGTGTTTCAAACCTGCTCTATGAAAGGGACTGTTCAACACTGTGACTTCAATTGAAACATCCCAATGAAGCTTCTGAGAATGCTTCTGCCTAGAGTTTATATGAAGACAATCCCGTTTCCAACGAAATCCTCAAAGCTATCCAAATATCCTCTTGCAGATATTACAAAAAGAGTGTTTCAAAACTGCTCTATCAAAAGAAAGCTTCAACACTGTTAGTTGAGGGCGCACATCACAAATAAGTTTCTGAGAATGCTTTTGTCTAGTTTTCAGGGGAAGATATTTCCTTTTTCACCTTAGGCCTGAAAGCGCTGCAAATGTCCACATCCAGATACTACAAAAAGAGTGTTTCAAACCTGCTCTATGAAAGGGAATGTTCAACTCTGTGACTTGAATGCAAACATCACAAAGAAGTTTCTGGGAATGCTGCTGTCTGCTTTTTATATGTAATCCCGTTTCCAACGAAATCCTCAAAGCTAGACAAATATCCACTTGCAGATTCCACAAAAAGAGTGTTTCAAAACTGCTCTCTCAAAGGAAAGGTTCAACTCTGTTAGCTGAGTAGATACATCATGAAAAAGTTTCTGACATTGCTTCTATCTAGCTTTTATTGGAAGATATTTCCTTTTTCACCGCAGTCCTGAGAGCGCTCCAAATGTCCACTTCCAGATACTACAAAAAGAGTGTTTCAAACCTGCTCTATGAAAGGGACTGTTCAACACTGTGACTTCAATTGAAACATCCCAATGAAGCTTCTGAGAATGCTTATGTCTAGAGTTTATATGAAGACAATCCCGTTTCCAACGAAATCCTGAAAGCTATCCAAATATCCTCTTGCAGATATTACAAAAAGAGTGTTTCAAAACTGCTCTATCAAAAGAAAGCTTCAACACTGTTAGTTGAGGGCGCCCATCACAAATAAGTTTCGGAGAATGCTTAGCTGTCTGCTTTTTATATGTAATCCCGTTTCCAACGAAATCCTCAAAGCTAGACAAATATCCACTTGCAGATTCCACAAAAAGAGTGTTTCAAAACTGCTCTATCAAAAGAATGCTTCAACACTCTTAGTTGAGGGCGCACATCACAAATAAGTTTCTGAGAATGCTTCTGTCTAGTTTTCAGGGGAAGATACTTCCTTTTAAATCATAGGCCTGAAAGCGCTCCAAATGTCCACATCCAGATACTACAAAAAGAGTGTTTCAAACCTGCTCTATGAAAGGGAATGTTCAACTCTGTGACTTGAATGCAAACATCACAAAGAAGTTACTGGGAATGCTTCTGTCTAGAGTTTATATGAAGACAATCCCGTTTCCAATGAAATCCTCAAAGCTATCCAAATATCCTCTTGCAGATATTACAAAAAGTGTGTTTCAAAACTGCTCTATCAAAAGAAAGGTTCAACACTGGTAGTTGAGGGCGCACATCACAAATAAGTTTCTGAGAATGCTTCTGTCTAGTTTTCTGGGGAAGATATTCCTTTTTCACCATAGGCCTGAAAGCGCTCCAAATGTCCACATCCAGATACTACAAAAAGAGTGTTTCAAACCTGCTCTATGAAAGGGAATGTTCAACTCTGTGACTTGAATGCAAACATCACAAAGAAGTTACTGGGAATGCTGCTGTCTGCTTTTTATATGTAATCCCGTTTCCAACGAAATCCTCAAAGCTAGACAAATATCCACTTGCAGATTCCACAAAAAGAGTGTTTCAAAACTGCTCTCTCAAAGGAAGGTTCAACTCTGTTAGCTGAGTGGATACATCATGAAAAAGTTTCTGACATTGCTTCTATGTAGCTTTTATTGGAAGATATTTCCTTTTTCACCGTAGTCCTGAGAGCGCTCCAAATGTCCACTTCCAGATACTACAAAAAGAGTGTTTCAAACCTGCTCTATGAAAGGGACTGTTCAACACTGTGACTTCAATTGAAACATCCCAATGAAGCTTCTGAGAATGCTTCTGTCTAGAGTTTATATGAAGACAATCCCGTTTCCAATGAAATTCTCAAAGCTATCCAAATATCCTCTTGCAAATTTTACAAAAAGAGTGTTTCAAAACTGCTCTATCAAAAGAAAGCTTCAACACTGTTAGTTGAGGGCGCACATCACAAATAAGATTCTGAGAATGCTGCTGTCTGCTTTTTATATGTAATCCCGTTTCCAACGAAATCCTCAAAGCTAGACAAATATCCACTTGCAGATTCCACAAAAAGAGTGTTTCAAAACTGCTCTATCAAAAGAATGCTTCAACACTGTTAGTTGAGGGCGCACATCACAAATAAGTTTCTGAGAATGCTTCTGTCTAGTTTTCAGGGGAAGATATTTCCTTTTTCACCATAGGCATGAAAGCGCTCCAAATGTCCACATCCAGATACTACAAAAAGAGTGTTTCAAACCTGCTCTAAGAAAGGGACTGTCCAATACTGTGACTTCAATTGAAACATCCCAATGAAGCATCTGAGAATGCTTCTATCTAGAGTTTATATGAAGACAATCCCGTTTCCAACGAAATCCTCAAAGCTATCCAAATATCCTCTTGCAGATATTACAAAAAGAGTGTTTCAAAACTGCTCTATCAAAAGAAAGCTTCAACACTGTTAGTTGAGGGCGCACATCACAAATAAGTTTCTGAGAATGCTTCTGTCTACTTTTCAGGGGAAGATATTTCCTTTTTCACCATAGGCCTGAAAGTGCTCCAAATGTCCACATCCAGATACTACAAAAAGAGTGTTTCAAACCTGCTCTATGAAAGGGAATGTTCAACTCTGTGACTTGAATGCAAACATCACAAAGAAGTTTCTGGGAATGCTGCTGTCTGCTTTTTATATGTAATCCCGTTTCCAACGAAATCCTCAAAGCTAGACAAATATCCACTTGCAGATTCCACAAAAAGAGTGTTTCAAAACTGCTCTCCCAAAAGAAAGGTTCAACTCTGTTAGCTGAGTAGATACATCATGAAAAAGTTTCTGACATTGCTTCTATCTAGCTTTTATTGGAAGATATTTCCTTTTTCACCGTAGTCCTGAGAACGCTCCAAATGTCCACTTCAAGATGCTACAAAAAGAGTGTTTCAAACCTGCTCTATGAAAGTGACTGTTCAACACTGTGACTTCAATTGAAACATCCCAATGAAGCTTCTGAGAATGCTTATGTCTAGAGTTTATATGAAGACAATCCCGTTTCCAACGAAATCCTGAAAGCTATCCAAATATCCTCTTGCAGATATTACAAAAAGAGTGTTTCAAAACTGCTCTATCAAAAGAAAGCTTCAACACTGTTAGTTGAGGGCGCCCATCACAAATAAGTTTCGGAGAATGCTTAGCTGTCTGCTTTTTATATGTAATCCCGTTTCCAACGAAATCCTCAAAGCTAGACAAATATCCACTTGCAGATTCCACAAAAAGAGTGTTTCAAAACTGCTCTATCAAAAGAATGCTTCAACACTGTTAGTTGAGGGCGCACATCACAAATAAGTTTCTGAGAATGCTTCTGTCTAGTTTTCAGGGGAAGATATTTCCTTTTAAACCATAGGCCTGAAAGCGCTCCAAATGTCCACATCCAGATACTACAAAAAGAGTGTTTCAAACCTGCTCTATGAAAGGGACTGTTCAACACTGTGACTTCAATTGAAACATCCCAATGACGCTTCTGAGAATGCTTCTGTCTAGAGTTTATATGAAGACAATCCCGTTTCCAACGAAATCCTCAAAGCTATCCAAATATCCTCTTGCAGATTTTACAAAAAGAGTGTTTCAAAACTGCTCTATCAAAAGAAAGCTTCAACACTGTTAGTTGAGGGCGCACATCACAAATAAGATTCTGAGAATGCTTCTGTCTAGTTTTCAGGAGAAGATATTTCCTTTTTCACCATAGGCCTGAAAGCGCTCCAAATGTTCACATCCAGATACTATAAAAAGAGTGTTTCAAACCTGCTCTATGAAAGGGAATGTTCAACTCTGTGACTTGAATGCAAACATCACAAACAAGATTCTGGGAATGCTGCTGTCTGCTTTTTATATGTAATCCCGTTTCCAACGAAATCCTCAAAGCTAGACAAACATCCACTTGCAGATTCCACAAAAAGAGTGTTTCAAATCTGCTCTATCAAAAGAAAGCTTCAACACTGTTAGTTGAGGGCGCACATCACAAATAAGTTTCTGAGAATGCTTCTGTCTAGTTTTCAGGGGAAGATATTTCCTTTTTCACCATAGGCCTGAAAGCGCTCCAAATGTCCACATCCAGATACTACAAAAAGAGTGTTTCAAACCTGCTCTATGAAAGGGACTGTTCAACACTGTGACTTCAATTGAAACATCCCAATGAAGCTTCTGAGAATGCTTCGGTCTAGAGTTTGTATGAAGACAATCCCGTTTCCAACGAAATCCTCAAAGCTATCCAAATATCCTCTTGCAGATTTTACAAAAAGAGTGTTTCAAAACTGCTCTATCAAAAGAAAGCTTCAACACTGTTAGTTGAGGGCGCTCATCACAAATAAGATTCTGAGAATTCTTCTGTCTAGTTTTCAGGGGAAGATATTTCCTTTTTCACCATAGGCCTGAAAGCGCTCCAAATGTCCACATACAGATACTACAAAAAGAGTGTTTCAAACCTGCTCTATGAAAGGGAATGTTCAACTCTGTGACTTGAATGCAAACTTCACAAAGAAGTTTCTGGGAATGCTGCTGTCTGCTTTTTATATGTAATCCCTTTTCCAACGAAATCCTCAAAGCTAGACAAATATCCACTTGCAGATTCCACAAAAAGAGTGTTTCAAAACTGCTCTCTCAAAGGAAGGTTCAACTCTGTTAGCTGAGTAGATACATCATGAAAAAGTTTCTGACATTGCTTCTATCTAGCTTTTATTGGAAGATATTTCCTTTATCACCGTATTCCTGAGATCTCTCCAAATGTCCACTTCCAGATACTACAAAAAGAGTATTTCAAACCTGCTCTATGAAAGGGACTGTTCAACACTGTGACTTCAATTGAAACATCCCAATGAAGCTTCTGAGAATGCTTCTGTCTAGAGTTTATATGAAGACAATCCCGTTTCCAACGAAATCCTCAAAGCTATCCAAATATCCTCTTGCAGATATTACAAAAAGAGTGTTTCAAAACTGCTCTATCAAAAGAAAGGTTCAACACTGTTAGTTGAGGGCGCACATCACAAATAAGTTTACTGAGAATGCTGCTGTCTGCTTTTTATATGTAATCCCGTTTCCAACGAAATCCTTAAAGCTAGACAAATATCCACTTGCAGATTCCACAAAAAGAGTGTTTCAAAACTGCTCTATCGAAAGAAAGCTTCAACACTGTTAGTTGAGGGCGCACATCACAAATAAGTTTCTGAGAATGCTTCTGTCTAGTTTTCAGGGGAAGATATTTCCTTTTAAACCATAGGCCTGAAAGCGCTCCAAATGTCCACATCCAGATACTACAAAAAGAGTGTTTCAAACCTGCTCTATGAAAGGGACTGTTCAACACTGTGACTTCAATTGAAACATCCCAATGAAGCTTCTGAGAATGCTTCTGTCTAGAGTTTATATGAAGACAATCCCGTTTCCAATGAAATCCTCAAAGCTATGCAAATATCCTCTTGCAGATTTTACAAAAAGAGTGGTTCAAAACTGCTCTATCAAAAGAAAGCTTCAACACTGTTAGTTGAGGGCGCACATCACAAATAAGATTCTGAGAATGCTTCTGTCTAGTTTTCAGGAGAAGATATTTCCTTTTTCACCATAGGCCTGAAAGCGCTCCAAATGTCCACATCCAGATACTATAAAAAGAGTGTTTCAAACCTGCTCTCTGAAAGGGAATGTTCAACTCTGTGACTTGAATGCAAACATCACAAAGAAGTTTCTGGGAATGCTGCTGTCTGCTTTTTATATGTAATCCCGTTTCCAACGCAATCCTCAAAGCTAGACAAATATCCACTTGCAGATTCCACAAAAAGAGTGTTTCAAAACTGCTCTCTCAAAGGAAGGTTCAACTCTGTTAGCTGAGTAGATACATCATGAAAAAGTTTCTGACATTGCTTCTATCTAGCTTTTATTGGAAGATATTTCCTTTTTCACCGTAGTCCTGAGAGCGCTCCAAATGTCCACTTCCAGATACTACAAAAAGAGTGTTTCAAACCTGCTCTATGAAAGGGAATGTTCAACACTGTGACTTCAGTTGAAACATCCCAATGAAGCTTCTGAGAATGCTTCTTTCTAGAGTTTATATGAAGACAATCCCGTTTCCAACGAAATCCTCAAAGCTATCCAAATATTCTCTTGCAGATATTACAAAAAGAGTGTTTCAAAACTGCTCTATCAAAATAAAGCTTCAACACTGTTAGTTGAGGGCGCACATCACAAATAAGTTTCTGAGAATGCTGCTGTCTGCTTTTTATATGTAATCCCGTTTCCAACGAAATCCTCAAAGCTAGACAAATATCCACTTGCAGATTCCACAAAAAGAGTGTTTCAAAACTGCTCTATCAAAAGAAAGCTTCAACACTGTTAGTTGAGGGCGCACATCACAAATAAGTTTCTGAGAATGCTTCTGTCTAGTTTTCAGGGGAAGATATTTCCTTTTAAACCATAGGCCTGAAAGCGCTCCAAATGTCCACATCCAGATACTAGAAAAAGAGTGTTTCAAACCTGCTCTATGAAAGGGACTGTTCAACACTGTGACTTCAATTGAAACATCCCAATGACGCTTCTGAGAATGCTTCTGTCTAGAGTTTATATGAAGACAATCCCGTTTCCAACGAAATCCTCAAAGCTATCCAAATATCCTCTTGCAGATATTACAAAAAGAGTGTTTCAAAACTGCTCTATCAAAAGAAAGCTTCAACACTGTTAGTTGAGGGCGCACATCACAAATAAGTTTCTGAGAATGCTTCTATCTAGCTTTTATTGGAAGATATTTCCTTTATCACCGGAGTCCTGAGAGCGCTCCAAATGTCCACTTCCAGATACTACAAAAAGAGTGTTTCAAACCTGCTCTATGAAAGGGAATGTTCAACTCTGTGACTTGAATGCAAACATCACAAAGAAGATTTCTGGGAATGCTGCTGTCTGCTTTTTATATGTAATCCCGTTTCCAACGAAATCCTCAAAGCTAGACAAATATCCACTTGCAGATTCCACAAAAAGCGTGTTTCAAAACTGCTCTCTCAAAAGAAAGGTTCAACTCTGTTAGCTGAGTAGATACATCATGAAAAAGTTTCTGACATTGCTTCTATCTTGCTTTTATTGGAAGATATTTCCTTTTTCACCGTAGTCCTGAGAGCGCTCCAAATGTCCACTTCCAGATACTACAAAAAGAGTGTTTCAAACCTGCTCTATGACAGGGAATGTTCAACACTGTGACTTCAATTGAAACATCCCTAAGAAATTTCTGAGAATGCTTCTGTCTAGAGTTTATATGAAGACAATCCCGTTTCCAACGAAATCCTCAAAGCTATCCAAATATCCTCTTGCAGATTTTACAAAAAGAGTGTGTCAAAACTGCTCTATGAAAAGAAAGGTTCAACACTGTTAGTTGAGTGCGCACATCACAAATAAGTTTCTGAGAATGCTTCTGTCTAGTTTTCAGGGGAAGATATTTCCTTTTTCACCATAGGCCTGAAAGCGCTCCAAATGTCCACATCCAGATACTACAAAAAGAGTGTTTCAAACCTGCTCTCTGAAAGGGAATGTTCAACTCTGTGACTTGAATGCAAACATCACAAAGAAGTTTCTGGGAATGCTGCTGTCTGCTCTTTATATGTAATCCCGTTTCCAACGAAATCCTCAAAGCTAGACAAATATCCACTTGCAGATTCCACAAAAAGAGTGTTTCAAAACTGCTCTCTCAAAGGAAAGGTTCAACTCTGTTAGCTGAGTAGATACATCATGAAAAAGTTTCTGACATTGCTTCTATCTAGCTTTTATTGGAAGATATTTCCTTTATCACCGTAGTACTGAGAGCGCTCCAAATGTCCACTTCCAGATACTACAAAAAGAGTGTTTCAAACCTGCTCTATGAAAGGGACTGTTCAACACTGTGACTTCAATTGAAACCTCCCAATGAAGCTTCTGAGAATGCTTCTGTCTAGATTCTATATGAAGACAATCCCGTTTCCAACGAAATCCTCAAAGCTATCCAAATATCCTCTTGCAGATTTTACAAAAAGAGTGTTTCAAAACTGCTCTATCAAAAGAAAAGTTCCACACTGTTAGTTGAGGGCGCACATCACAAATAAGTTTGCTGAGAATGCTGCTGTCTGCTTTTTATATGTAATCCCGTTTCCAACGAAATCCTCAAAGCTAGACAAATATCCACTTGCAGATTCCACAAAAAGAGTGTTTCAAAACTGCTCTATCAAAAGAATGCTTCAACACTGTTAGTTGAAGGCGCACATCACAAATAAGTTTCTGAGAATGCTTCTGTCTAGTTTTCAGGGGAAGATATTTCCTTTTTCACCATAGGCCTGAAAGCGCTCCAAATGTCCACATCCAGATACTACAAAAAGAGTGTTTCAAACCTGCTCTATGAAAGGGACTGTTCAACACTGTGACTTCAATTGAAACATCCCAATGAAGCTTCTGAGAATGCTTCTGTCTAGAGTTTATATGAAGACAATCCCGTTTCCAACGAAATCCTCAAAGCTATCCAAATATCCTCTTGCAGATTTTACAAAAAGAGTGTTTCAAAACTGCTCTATCAAAAGAAAGCTTCAACACTGTTAGTTGAGGGCGCACATCACAAATAAGATTCTGAGAATGCTTCTGTCTAGTTTTCAGGGGAACATATTTCCTTTTTCACCATAGGCCTGAAAGCGCTCCAAATGTCCACATCCAGATACTACAAAAAGAGTGTTTCAAACCTGCTCTATGAAAGGGAATGCTCAACTCTGTGACTTGAATGCAAACACCACAAAGAAGTTACTGGGAATGCTGCTGTCTGCTTTTTATATGTAACCCGTTTCCAACGAAATCCTCAAAGCTAGACAAATATCCACTTGCAGATTCCACAAAAAGAGTGTTTCAAAACTGCTCTCTCAAAGGAAGGTTCAACTCTGTTAGCTGAGTAGATACATCATGAAAAAGTTTCTGACATTGCTTCTATCTAGCTTTTATTGGAAGATATTTCCTTTTTCACCGCAGTCCTGAGAGCGCTCCAAATGTCCACTTCCAGATACTACAAAAAGAGTGTTTCAAACCTGCTCTATGAAAGGGACTGTTCAACACTGTGACTTCAATTGAAACATCCCAATGAAGCTTCTGAGAATGCTTCTGTCTAGATTCTATATGAAGACAATCCCGTTTCCAACGAAATCCTCAAAGCTATCCAAATATCCTCTTGCAGATTTTACAAAAAGAGTGTTTCAAAACTGCTCTATCAAAAGAAAAGTTCCACACTGTTAGTTGAGGGCGCACATCACAAATAAGTTTGCTGAGAATGCTGCTGTCTGCTTTTTATATGTAATCCGGTTTCCAACGAAATCCTCAAAGCTAGACAAACATCCACTTGCAGATTCCACAAAAAGAGTGTTTCAAAACTGCTCTATCAAAAGAAAGGTTCAACATTGTTAGTTGAGGGCGCACATCACAAATAAGTTTCTGAGAATGCTTCTGTCTAGTTTTCAGGGGAAGATATTTCCTTTTTCACCATAGGCCTGAAAGCGCTCGAAATGTCCACATCCACATACTACAAAAAGAGTGTTTCAAACCTGCTCTATGAAAGGGACTGTTCAACACTGTGACTTCAATTGAAACATCCCAATGAAGCTTCTGAGAATGCTACTCTCTAGAGTTTATATGAAGACAATCCCATTTCCACCGAAATCCTCAAAGCTATCCAAATATCCTCTTGCAGATTTTACAAAAAGAGTGTTTCAAAACTGCTCTATCAAAAGAAAAGTTCAACACTGTTAGTTGAGGGCGCACATCACAAATAAGTTTCTGAGAATGCTTCTGTCTAGTTTTCAGGGGAAGATATTTCCTTTTTCACCATAGGCCTGAGAGCGCTCCAAATGTCCACATCCAGATACTACAAAAAGAGTGTTTCAAACCTGCTCTATGAAAGGGAATGTTCAACTCTGTGACTTGAATGCAAATATCACAAAGATGTTTCTGGGAATGCTGCTGTCTGCTTTTTATATGTAATCCCGTTTCCAACGAAATCCTCAAAGCTAGACAAATATCCACTTGCAGATTCAACAAAAAGAGTGTTTCAAAACTGCTCTCTCAAAGGAAAGGTTCAACTCTGTTAGCTGAGTAGATACATCATGAAAAAGTTTCTGACATTGCTTCTATCTAGCTTTTATTGGAAGATATTTCCTTTATCACCGTATTCCTGAGATCTCTCCAAATGTCCACTTCCATATACTACAAAAAGAGTGTTTCAAACCTGCTCTATGAAAGGGACTGTTCAACACTGTGACTTCAATTGAAACATCCCAATGAAGCTTCTGAGAATGCTTCTGTCTAGAGTTTATATGAAGACAATCCCGTTTCCAACGAAATCCTCAAAAGCTACCAAATATCCTCTTGCAGATTTTACGAAAAGAGTGTTTCAAAACTGCTCTATCAAAAGAAAGCTTCAACACTGTTAGCTGAGGGCGCACATCACAAATAAGATTCTGAGAATGCTTCTGTCTAGTTTACAGGAAGAAGATATTTCCTTTTTCACCATAGGCCTGAAAGCGCTCCAAATGTCCACATCCAGATACTATAAAAAGAGTGTTTCAAACCTGCTCTCTGAAAGGGAATGTTCAACTCTGTGACTTGAATGCAAACATCACAAACAAGATTCTGGGAATGCTGCTGTCTGCTTTTTATACGTAATCCCGTTTCCAACGAAATCCTCAAAGCTATCCAAATATCCACTTGCAGATTCCACAAAAAGAGTGTTTCAAAACTGCTCTCTCAAAAGAAAGGTTCAACTCTGTTAGCTGAGTAGATACATCATGAAAAAGTTTCTGACATTGCTTCTATCTAGCTTTTATTGGAAGATATTTCCTTTATCACCGTATTCCTGAGATCTCTCCAAATGTCCACTTCCAGATACTACAAAAAGAGTGTTTCAAACCTGCTCTATGAAAGGGACTGTTCAACACTGTGACTTCAATTGAAACATCCCAATGAAGCTTCTGAGAATGCTTCTGTCTAGAGTTTATATGAAGACAATCCCGTTTCCAACGAAATCCTCAAAGCTATCCAAATATCCTCTTGCAGATATTACAAAAAGAGTGTTTCAAAACTGCTCTATCAAAAGAAAGGTTCAACACTGTTAGTTGAGGGCGCACATCACAAATAAGTTTCTGAGAAAGCTTCTGTCTAGTTTTCAGGGGAAGATATTTCCTTTTTCACCATAGGCCTGAAAGCGCTCCAAATGTCCACATCCAGATACTACAAAAAGAGTGTTTCAAACCTGCTCTATGAAAGGGAATGATCAACTCTGTGACTTGAATGCAAGCACCACAAAGAAGTTTCTGGGAATGCTGCTGTCTGCTTTTTATATGTAATCCCGTTTCCAACGCAATCCTCAAAGCTAGACAAATATCCACTTGCAGATTCCACAAAAAGAGTGTTTCAAAACTGCTCTCTCAAAGGAAAGGTTCAACTCTGTTAGCTGAGTAGATACATCATGAAAAAGTTTCTGACATTGCTTCTATCTAGCTTTTATTGGAAGATATTTCCTTTTTCACCGCAGTCCTGAGAGCGTTCCAAATGTCCACTTCCAGATACTACAAAAAGAGTGTTTCAAACCTGCTCTATGAAAGGGACTGTTCAACACTGTGACTTCAATTGAAACATCCCAATGAAGCTTCTGAGAATGCTTCTGTCTAGAGTTTATATGAAGACAATCCCGTTTCCAACGAAATCCTCAAAGCTATCCAAATATCCTCTTGCAGATATTACAAAAAGAGTGTTTCAAAACTGCTCTATCAAAAGAAAGGTTCAACACTGTTAGTTGAGGGCGCACATCACAAATAAGTTTACTGAGAATGCTGCTGTCTGCTTTTTATATGTAATCCCGTTTCCAACGAAATCCTCAAAGCTAGACAAATATCCACTTGCAGATTCCACAAAAAGAGTGTTTCAAAACTGCTCTCTCAAAAGAAAGGTTCAACACTGTTAGTTGAGGGCGCACATCACAAATAAGTTTCTGAGAATGCTTCTGTCTAGTTTTCAGGGGAAGATATTTCCTTTTTCACCATAGGCCTGAAAGCGCTCCAAATGTCCACATCCAGATACTACAAAAAGAGTGTTTCAAACCTGCTCTATGAAAGGGACTGTTCAACACTGTGACTTCAATTGAAACATCCCAATGAAGCTTCTGAGAATGCTTCTGTCTAGAGTTTATATGAAGACAATCCCGTTTCCAACGAAATCCTCAAAGCTATCCAAATATCCTCTTGCAGATATTACAAAAAGAGTGTTTCAAAACTGCTCTATCAAAAGAAAGGTTCAACACTGTTAGTTGAGGGCGCACATCACAAATAAGTTTCTGAGAATGCTTCTGTCTAGTTTTCAGGGGAAGATATTTCCTTTTTCACCATAGGCCTGAAAGCGCTCCAAATGTCCACATCCAGATACTGCAAAAAGAGTGTTTCAAACCTGCTCTATGAAAGGGAATGTTCAACTCTGTGACTTGAATGCAAACATCACAAAGAAGTTACTGGGAATGCTGCTGTCTGCTTTTTATATGTAATCCCGTTTCCAACGAAATCCTCAAAGCTAGACAAATATCCACTTCCAGATTCCACAAAAAGAGTGTTTCAAAACTGCTGTCTCAAAAGAAAGGTTCAACTGCTGTTAGCTGAGTAGATACATCATGAAAAAGTTTCTGACATTGCTTCTATGTAGCTTTTATTGGAAGATATTTCCTTTTTCACCATAGTCCTGAGAGCGCTCCAAATGTCCACTTCCAGATACTACAAAAAGAGTGTTTCAAACCTGTTCTATGAAAGGGACTGTTCAACACTGTGACTTCAATTGAAACATCCCAATGAAGCTTACTGAGAATGCTTCTGTCTAGATTCTATATGAAGACAATCCCGTTTCCAACGAAATCCTCAAAGCTATCCAAATATCCTCTTGCAGATTTTACAAAAAGAGTGTTTCAAAACTGCTCTATCAAAAGAAAAGTTCCACACTGTTAGTTGAGGGCGCACATCACAAATAAGTTTGCTGAGAATGCTGCTGTCTGCTTTTTATATGTAATCCCGTTTCCAACGAAATCCTCAAAGCTAGACAAACATCCACTTGCAGATTCCACAAAAAGAGTGTTTCAAAACTGCTCTATCAAAAGAAAGCTTCAACACTGTTAGTTGAGGGCGCACATCACAAATAAGTTTCTGAGAATGCTTCTGTCTAGTTTTCAGGGGAAGATATTTCCTTTTAAACCATAGGCCTGAAAGCGCTCCAAATGTCCACATCCAGATACTACAAAAAGAGTGTTTCAAACCTGCTCTATGAAAGGGACTGTTCAACACTGTGACTTCAATTGAAACATCCCAATGACGCTTCTGAGAATGCTTCTGTCTAGAGTTTATATGAAGACAATCCCGTTTCCAACGAAATCCTCAAAGCTATCAAAATATCCTCTTGCAGATTTTACGAAAAGAGTGTTTCAAAACTGCTCTATCAAAAGAAAGCTTCAACACTGTTAGTTGAGGGCGCACATCACAAATAAGATTCTGAGAATGCTTCTGTCTAGTTTTCAGGGGAAGATATTTCCTTTTTCACCATAGGCCTGAAAGCGCTCCAAATGTCCACATCCAGATACTACAAAAAGAGTGTTTCAAACCTGCTCTATGAAAGGGAATGTTCAAGTCTGTGACTTGAATGCAAATATCACAAAGAAGTTTCTGGGAATGCTGCTGTCGTGCTTTTTATATGTAATCCCGTTTCCAACGAAATCCTCAAAGCTAGACAAATATCCACTTGCAGATTCCACAAAAAGAGTGTTTCTAAACTGCTCTCTCAAAAGAAAGGTTCAACTCTGTTAGCTGAGTAGATACATCATGAAAAAGTTTCTGACATTGCTTCTATCTAGCTTTTATTGGAAGATATTTCCTTTTTCACCGGTAGTCCTGAGAGCGCTCAAAATGTCCACTTCCAGATACTACAAAAAGAGTGTTTCAAACCTGCTCTATGAAAGGGACTGTTCAACACTGTGACTTCAATTGAAACATCCCAATGAAGCTTCTGAGAATGCTGCTGTCTGCTTTGTATAATTAATCCCGTTTCCAACGAAATCCTCAAAGCTATCCAAATATCCTCTTGCAGATATTACAAAAAGAGTGTTTCAAAACTGCTCTATCAAAAGAAAGCTTCAACACTGTTAGTTGAGGGCGCACATCACAAATAAGTTTCTGAGAATGCTGCTGTCTGCTTTTTATAATTAATCCCGTTTCCAACGAAATCCTCAAAGCTATCCAAATATCCTCTTGCAGATATTACAAAAAGAGTGTTTCAAAACTGCTCTATCAAAAGAAAGGTTCAACACTGTTAGTTGAGGGCGCACATCACAAATAAGTTTCTGAGAATGCTTCTGTCTAGTTTTCAGGGGAAGATATTTCCTTTTTCACCATAGGCCTGAAAGCGCTCCAAATGTCCACATCCAGATACTACAAAAAGAGTGTTTCAAACCTGCTCTATGAAAGGGACTGTTCAACACTGTGACTTCAATTGAAACATCCCAATGAAGCTTCTGAGAATGCTTCTGTCTAGAGTTTATATGAAGACAATCCCGTTTCCAACGAAATCCTCAAAGCTATCCAAATATCCTCTTGCAGATATTACAAAAAGAGTGTTTCAAAACTGCTCTATCAAAAGAAAGGTTCAACACTGTTAGTTGAGGGCGCACATCACAAATAAGTTTCTGAGAATGCTTCTGTCTGGTTTTCAGGGGAAGATAGTTCCTTTTTCACCTTAGGCCTGAAAGCGCTGCAAATGTCCACATCCAGATACTACAAAAAGAGTGTTTCAAACCTGCTCTATGAAAGGGAATGTTCAACTCTGTGACTTGAATGCAAACATCACAAAGAAGTTACTGGGAATGCTGCTGTCTGCTTTTTATATGTAATCCCGTTTCCAACGAAATCCTCAAAGCTAGACAAATATCCACTTGCAGATTCCACAAAAAGAGTGTTTCAAAACTGCTCTCTCAAAAGAAAGGTTCAACTCTGTTAGCTGAGTAGATACATCATGAAAAAGTTTCTGACATTGCTTCTATGTAGCTTTTATTGGAAGATATTTCCTTTTTCACCGTAGTCCTGAGAGCGCTCCAAATGTCCACTTCCAGATACAACAAAAAGAGTGTTTCAAACCTGCTCTATGAAAGGGACTGTTCAACACTGTGAGTTCAATTGAAACATCCCAATGAAGCTTCTGAGAATGCTTCTGTCTAGAGTTTATATGAAGACAATCCCGTTTCCAATGAAATCCTCAAAGCTATCCAAATATCTTCTTGCAGATTTTACAAAAAGAGTGTTTCAAAACTGGTCTATCAAAAGAAAGCTTCAACACTGTTAGTTGAGGGCGCACATCACAAATAACATTCTCAGAATGCTTCTGTCTAGTTTTCAGGGGAAGATATTTCCTTTTTCACCATAGGCCTGAAAGCGCTCCAAATGTCCACATCCAGATACTACAAAAAGAGTGTTTCAAACCTGCTCTATGAAAGGGAATGTTCAACTCTGTGACTTGAATGCAAACATCACAAAGAAGATTCTGGGAATGCTGCTGTCTGCTTTTTATATGTAATCCCGTTTCCAACGAAATCCTCAAAGCTAGACAAATATCCACTTGCAGGTTCCACCAAAAGAGTGTTTCAAAACTGCTCTCTCAAAAGAAAGGTTCAACTCTGTTAGCTGAGTAGATACATCATGAAAAAGCTTCTGACATTGCTTCTATCTTGCTTTTATTGGAAGATATTTCCTTTTTCACCGTAGTCCTGAGATCTCTCCAAATGTCCACTTCCAGATACTCCAAAAAGAGTGTTTCAAACCTGCTCTATGAAAGGGACTGTTCAACACTGTGACTTCAATTGAAACATCCCAATGAAGCTTCTGAGAATGCTTCTGTCTAGAGTTTATATGAAGACAATCCCGTTTCCAACGAAATCCTCAAAGCTATCCAAATATCCTCTTGCAGATTTTACGAAAAGAGTGTTTCAAAACTGCTCTATCAAAAGAAAGCTTCAACACTGTTAGTTGAGGGCGCACATCACAAATAAGATTCTGACAATGCTGCTGTCTGCTTTTTATATGTAATCCCGTTTCCAACGAAATCCTCAAAGCTATCCAAATATCCTCTTGCAGATATTACAAAAAGAGTGTTTCAAAACTGCTCTATCAAAAGAAAGGTTCAACACTGTTAGTTGAGGGCGCACATCACAAATAAGTTTCTGAGAATGCTTCTGTCTAGTTTTCAGAGGAAGATATTTCCTTTTTCACCATAGGCCTGAAAGCGCTCCAAATGTCCACATCCAGATACTACAAAAAGAGTGTTTCAAACCTGCTCTATGAAAGGGACTGTTCAACACTGTGACTTCAATTGAAACATCCCAATGAGGCTTCTGTGAATGCTTCTGTCTAGAGTTTATATGAAGACAATCCCGTTTCCAACGAAATCCTCAAAGCTATCCAAATATCCTCTTGCAGATTTTACAAAAAGAGTGTTTCAAAACTGCTCTATCAAAAGAAAGCTTCAACTCTGTTAGTTGAGGGCGCACATCACAAATAAGATTCTGAGAATGCTTCTGTCTAGTTTTCAGGGGAAGATATTTCCTTTTTCACCATAGGCTTGAAAGCACTCCAAATGTCCACATCCAGATACTACAAAAAGAGTGTTTCAAACCTGCTCTATGAAAGGGAATGTTCAACTCTGTGACTTGAATGCAAACATCACAAAGAAGTTTCTGGGAATGCTGCTGTCTGCTTTTTATATGTAATCCCGTTTCCAACGAAATCCTCAAAGCTAGACAAATATCCACTTCCAGATTCCACAAAAAGAGTGTTTCAAAACTGCTGTCTCAAAAGAAAGGTTCAACTGCTGTTAGCTGAGTAGATACATCATGAAAAAGTTTCTGACATTGCTTCTATCTAGCTTTTATTGGAAGATATTTCCTTTATCACCGTAGTCCTGAGAGCGCTCCAAATGTCCACTTCCAGATACTACAAAAAGAGTGTTTCAAACCTGCTCTATGAAAGGGACTGTTCAACACTGTGACTTCAAATGAAACATCCCAATGAAGCTTCTGACAATGCTTCTGTCTAGAGTTTATATGAAGACAATCCCGTTTCCAACGAAATCCTCGAAGCTATCCAAATATCCTCTTGCAGATATTACAAAAAGAGTGTTTCAAAACTGCTCTATCAAAAGAAAGGTTCAACACTGTTAGTTGAGGGCGCACATCACAAATAAGATTCTGAGAATGCTTCTGTCTAGTTTTCAGGGGAAGATATTTCCTTTTTCACCACAGGCCTGAAAGCGCTCCAAATGTCCACATCCAGATACTACAAAAAGAGTGTTTCAAACCTGCTCTATGAAAGGGAATGTTCAACTCTGTGACTTGAATGCAAACATCACAAAGAAGTTCCTGGGAATGCTTCTATGTAGCTTTTATTGGAAGATATTTCCTTTTTCACCGCAGTCCTGAGAGCGCTCCAAATGTCCACTTCCAGATACTACAAAAAGAGTGTTTCAAACCTGCTCTATGAAAGGGACTGTTCAACACTGTGACTTCAGTTGAAACATCCCAATGAAGCTTCTGAGAATGCTTCTGTCTAAAGTTTATATGAAGACAATCCCGTTTCCAACGTAATCCTCAAAGCTATCCAAATATCCTCTTGCAGATTTTACGAAAAGGGTGTTTCAAAACTGCTCTATCAAAAGAAAGCTTCAACACTGTTAGTTGAGGGCGCACATCACAAATAAGATTCTGAGAATGCTTCTGTCTAGTTTTCAGGGGAAGATATTTCCTTTTTCACCATAGGCCTGAAAGCGCTCCAAATGTCCACATCCAGATACTACAAAAAGAGTGTTTCAAACCTGCTCTATGAAAGGGAATGTTCAACTCTGTGACTTGAATGCAAACATCACAAAGAAGATTCTGGGAATGCTGCTGTCTGCTTTTTATATGTAATCCCGTTTCCAATGAAATCCTCAAACTAGACAAATATCCACTTGCAGATTCCACAAAAAGAGTGTTTCAAAACGGCTCTCTCAAAAGAAAGGTTCAACTCTGTTAGCTGAGTAGATACATCATGAAAAAGTTTCTGACATTGCTTCTATGTAGCTTTTATTGGAAGATATTTCCTTTTTCACCATAGTCCTGGGAGCGCTCCAAATGTCCACTTCCAGATACTACAAAAAGAGTGTTTCAAACCTGTTCTATGAAAGGAACTGTTCAACACTGTGACTTCAATTGAAACATCCCAATGAAGCTTCTGAGAATGCTGCTGTCTGCTTTGTATAATTAATCCCGTTTCCAACGAAATCCTCAAAGCTATCCAAATATCCTCTTGCAGATATTACAAAAAGAGTGTTTCAAAACTGCTCTATCAAAAGAAAGCTTCAACACTGTTAGTTGAGGGCGCACATCACAAATAAGTTTCTGAGAATGCTGCTGTCTGCTTTTTATATGTAATCCCGTTTCCAAAGAAATCCTCAAAGCTAGACAAATATCCACTTGCAGATTCCACAAAAAGAGTGTTTCAAAACTGCTCTATCAAAAGAAAGCTTCAACACTGTTAGTTGAGGGCGCACATCACAAATAAGTTTCTGAGAATGCTTCTGTCTAGTTTTCAGGGGAAGATATATCCTTTTAAACCATAGGCTTAAAGCGCTCCAAATGTCCACATCCAGATACTACAAAAAGAGTGTTTCAAACCTGCTCTATGAAAGGGACTGTTCAACACTGTGACTTCAATTGAAACATCCCAATGACGCTTCTGAGAATGCTTCTGTCTAGAGTTTATATGAAGACAATCCCGTTTCCAACGAAATCCTCAAAGCTATCCAAATATCCTCTTGCAGATTTTACAAAAAGAGTGTTTCAAAACTGCTCTATCAAAAGAAAGCTTCAACACTGTTAGTTGAGGGCGCACATCACAAATAAGATTCTGAGAATGCTTCTGTCTAGTTTTCAGGGGAAGATATTTCCTTTTTCACCATAGGCCTGAAAGCGCTCCAAATGTCCACATCCAGATACTACATAAAGAGTGTTTCAAACCTGCTCTCTGAAAGGGAATGTTCAACTCTGTGACTTGAATGCAAACATCACAAAGAAGTTTCTGGGAATGCTGCTGTCTGCTTTTTATAATTAATCCCGTTTCCAACGAAATCCTCAAAGCTAGACAAATATCCACTTGCAGATTCCACAAAAAGAGTGTTTCAAAACTGCTCTATCAAAAGAATGCTTCAACACTGTTAGCTGAGTAGATACATCATGAAAAAGTTTCTGACATTGCTTCTATCTAGCTTTTATTGGAAGATATATCCTTTTTCACCGCAGTCCTGAGAGCGCTCCAAATGTCCACTTCCAGATACTACAAAAAGAGTGTTTCAAACCTGTTCTATGAAAGGAACTGTTCAACACTGTGACTTCAATTGAAACATCCCAACGAAGCTTCTGAGAATGCTTCTGTCTAGTTTTCAGGGGAAGATATTTCCTTTTTCACCATAGGCCTGAAAGCGCTCCAAATGTCCACATCCAGATACTACAAAAAGAGTGTTTCAAGCCTGCTCTATGAAAGGGAATGTTCAACTCTGTGACTTGAATGCAAATATCACAAAGAAGTTTCCTGGGAATGCTGCTGTCTGCTTTTTATATGTAATCCCGTTTCCAACGAAATCCTCAAATCTAGCTACATATGCACTTGCAGATTCCACAAAAAGAGTGTTTCAAAACTGCTCCTTCAAAACGATTGTTGAATTCTGTTAGTTGAGTACACACATCACAAATAAGTTTCTGAGAATGCTTCTGTCTGGTTTCTATGGGAAGATATTTCCTTTTTCAACACAAGCCTGAATGCGCTCCAAACGGACACATCCAGATATGACAAAGGGCGTGTTTCCAACCTGCTCTATGATACCGAACTTTGAACTCTGTGACTTGAATGCAAACATCACAAAGAAGTTTCTCACAATGCTTCTGTCTAGAGTTTATATGAAGACAATCCCGTTTCCAACGAAATCCTCAAAGCTATCCAAATATCCTCTTGCAGATTTTACAAAAAGAGTGTTTCAAAACTGCTCTATCAAAAGAAAGCTTCAACACTGTTAGTTGAGGGCGCACATCACAAATAAGATTCTGAGAATGCTTCTGTCTAGTTTTCAGGGGAAGATATTTCCTTTTTCACCATAGGGCTGAAAGCGCTCCAAATGTCCACATCCAGATACTACAAAAAGAGTGTTTCAAACCTGCTCTCTGAAAGGGAATGTTCAACTCTGTGACTTGAATGCAAACATCACAAAGAAGTTTCTGGGAATGCTGCTGTCTGCTTTTTATATGTAATCCCGTTTCCAACGAAATCCTCAAAGCTAGACAAATATCCACTTGCAGATTCCACAAAAAGAGTGTTTCAAAACTGCTCTCTCAAAAGAAAGGTTCAACTCTGTTAGCTGAGTAGATACATCATGAAAATGTTTCTGACATTGCTTCTATCTAGCTTTTATTGGAAGATATTTCCTTTTTCACCGCAGTCCTGAGAGCGCTCCAAATGTCCACTTCCAGATACTACAAAAAGAGTGTTTCAAACCTGCTCTATGAAAGGGACTGTTCAACACTGTGACTTCAATTGAAACATCCCAATGAAGCTTCTGAGAATGCTTCTTTCTAGAGTTTATATGAAGACAATCCCGTTTCCAACGAAATCCTCAAAGCTATCCAAATATTCTCTTGCAGATATTACAAAAAGAGTGTTTCAAAACTGCTCTATCAAAATAAAGCTTCAACACTGTTAGTTGAGGGCGCACATCACAAATAAGTTTCTGAGAATGCTGCTGTCTGCTTTTTATATGTAATCCCGTTTCCAACGAAATCCTCAAAGCTAGACAAATATCCACTTGCAGATTCCACAAAAAGAGTGTTTCAATACTGCTCTATCAAAAGAATGCTTCAACACTGTTAGTTGAGGGCGCACATCACAAATAAGTTTCTGAGAATGCTTCTGTCTAGTTTTCAGGGGAAGATATGTCCTTTTAAACCATAGGCCTGAAAGCGCTCCAAATGTCCACATCCAGATACTACAAAAAGAGTGTTTCAAACCTGCTCTATGAAAGGGACTGTTCAACACTGTGACTTCAATTGAAACATCCCAATGACGCTTCTGAGAATGCTTCTGTCTAGAGTTTATATGAAGACAATCCCGTTTCCAATGAAATCCTCAAAGCTATCCAAATATCCTCTTGCAGATTTTACAAAAAGAGTGTTTCAAAACTGCTCTATCAAAAGAAAGCTTCAACACTGTTATTTGAGGGCGCACATCACAAATAAGATTCTGAGAATGCTTCTGTCTAGTTTTCAGGGGAAGATATTTCCTTTTTCACCATAGGCCTGAAAGCGCTCCAAATGTCCACATCCAGATACTACAAAAAGAGTGTTTCAAACCTGCTCTATGAAAGGGAATGTTCAACTCTGTGACTTGAATGCAAACATCACAAAGAAGTTTCTGGGAATGCTGCTGTCTGCTTTTTATATGCAATCCCGTTTCCAACGAAATCCTCAAACCTAGACAAATATCCACTTGCAGATTCCACAAAAAGAGTGTTTCAAAACTTCTCTCTCAAAAGAAAGGTTAAATTCTGTTAGCTGAGTAGATACATCATGAAAAATTTTCTGACATTGCTTCTATCTAGCTTTTATTGGAAGATATTTCCTTTTTCACCGTAGTCCTGAGAGCGCTCCAAATGTCCACTTCCAGATACTACAAAAAGAGTGTTTCAAACCTGTTCTATGAAAGGAACTGTTCAACACTGTGACTTCAATTGAAACATCCCAATGAAGCTTCTGAGAATGCTTCTGTCTAGATTCTATATGAAGACAATCCCGTTTCCAACGAAATCCTCAAAGCTATCCAAATATCCTCTTGCAGATTTTACAAAAAGAGTGTTTCAAAACTGCTCTATCAAAAGAAAAGTTCCACACTGTTAGTTGAGGGCGCACATCACAAATAAGTTTGCTGAGAATGCTGCTGTCTGCTTTTTATATGTAATCCCGTTTCCAACGAAATCCTCAAAGCTAGACAAATATCCACTTGCAGATTCCACAAAAAGAGTGTTTCAAAACTGCTCTATGAAAAGAAAGCTTCAACACTGTTAGTTGAGGGCGCACATCACAAATAAGTTTCTGAGAATGCTTCTGTCTAGTTTTCAGGGGAAGATATTTCCTTTTTCACCTTAGGCCTGAAAGCGCTGCAAATGTCCACATCCAGATACTACAAAAAGAGTGTTTCAAACCTGCTCTATGAAAGGGAATGTTCAACTCTGTGACTTGAATGCAAATATCACAAAGAAGATTCTGGGAATGCTGCTGTCTGCTTTTTATATGTAATCCCGTTTCCAACGAAATCCTCAAAGCTAGGCAAATATCCCCTTGCAGATTCCACAAAAAGAGTGTTTCAAAACTGCTCTCTCAAAGGAAGGTTCAACTCTGTTAGCTGAGTAGATACATCATGAAAAAGTTTCTGACATTGCTTCTATGTAGCTTTTATTGGAAGATATTTCCTTTTTCACCATAGTCCTGAGAGCGCTCCAAATGTCCACTTCCAGATACTACAAAAAGAGTGTTTCAAACCTGTTCTATGAAAGGAACTGTTCAACACTGTGACTTCAATTGAAACATCCCAATGAAGCTTCTGGGAATGCTTCTGTCTAGAGTTTATATGAAGACAATCCCGTTTCCAACGAAATCCTCAAAGCTATCCAAATATCCTCTTGCAGATATTACAAAAAGAGTGTTTCAAAACTGCTCTATCAAAAGAAAGGTTCAACACTGTTAGTTGAGGGCGCACATCACAAATAAGTTTACTGAGAATGCTGCTGTCTGCTTTTTATAATTAATCCCGTTTCCAACGAAATCCTCAAAGCTATCCAAATATCCTCTTGCAGATATTACAAAAAGAGTGTTTCAAAACTGCTCTATCAAAAGAAAGGTTCAACACTGTTAGTTGAGGGCGCACATCACAAATAAGTTTCTGAGAATGCTTCTGTCTAGTTTTCAGGGGAAGATATTTCCTTTTAAACCATAGGCCTGAAAGCGCTCCAAATGTCCACATCCAGATACTACAAAAAGAGTGTTTCAAACCTGCTCTATGAAAGGGACTGTTCAACACTGTGACTTCAATTGAAACATCCCAATGACGCTTCTGAGAATGCTTCTGTCTAGAGTTTATATGAAGACAATCCCGTTTCCAACGAAATCCTCAAAGCTATCCAAATATCCTCTTGCAGATATTACAAAAAGAGTGTTTCAAAACTGCTCTATCAAAAGAAAGCTTCAACACTGTTAGTTGAGGGCGCACATCACAAATAAGTTTCTGAGAATGCTTCTGTCTAGTTTTCAGGGGAAGATATTTCCTTTTTCACCTTAGGCCTGAAAGCGCTGCAAATGTCCACATCCAGATACTACAAAAAGAGTGTTTCAAACCTGCTCTATGAAAGGGAATGTTCAACTCTGTGACTTGAATGCAAACAACACAAAGAAGTTTCTGGGAATGCTGCTGTCTGCTTTTTATATGTAATCCCGTTTCCAACGAAATCCTCAAAGCTAGACAAATATCCACTTGCAGATTCCACAAAACGAGTGTTTCAAAACTGCTCTCTCAAATGAAGGTTCAACTCTGTTAGCTGAGTAGATACATTATGAAAAAGTTTCTGACATTGCTTCTATCTAGCTTTTATTGGAAGATATTTCCTTTATCACCGTATTCCAAAGATCTCTCCAAATGTCCACTTCCAGCTACTACAAAAAGAGTGTTTCAAACCTGCTCTATGAAAGGGACTGTTCAACACTGTGACTTCAATTGAAACATCCCAATGAAGCTTCTGAGAATACTACTGTCTAGAGTTTATATGAAGACAATCCTGTTTCCAACGAAATCCTCAAAGCTATCCAAATATCCTCTTGCAGATTTTACAAAAAGAGTGTTTCAAAACTACTCTATCAAAAGAAAGGTTCAACACTGTTAGTTGAGGGCGCACATCACAAATAAGTTTCTGAGAATGCTTCTGTCTAGTTTTCAGGGGAAGATATTTCCTTTTTCACCATAGACCAGAAAGCGCTCCAAATGTCCACATCCAGATACTACAAAAAGAGTGTTTCAAACCTGCTCTATGAAAGGGAATGTTCAACTGTGTGACTTGAATGTAAACATCACAAAGAAGTTTCTGGGAATGCTGCTGTCTGCTTTTTATATGTAATCCCGATTCCAACGAAATCCTCAAAGCTAGACAAATATCCACTTGCAGATTCCACAAAAATAGTGTTTCAAAACTGCTCTCGCAAAAGAAAGGTTCAACACTTTTAGCTGAGTAGATACATCATGAAAAAGTTTCTGACATTGCTTCTATCTAGCTTTTATTGGAAGATATTTCCTTTTTCACCGCAGTCCTGAGAGAACTCCAAATGTCCACTTCCAGATACTACAAAAAGAGTGTTTCAAACCTGCTCTATGAAAGGGACTGTTCAACACTGTGACTTCAATTGAAACATCCCAATGAAGCTTCTGAGAATGCTTATGTCTAGAGTTTATATGAAGACAATCCCGTTTCCAACGAAATCCTGAAAGCTATCCAAATATCCTCTTGCAGATATTACAAAAAGAGTGTTTCAAAACTGCTCTATCAAAAGAAAGCTTCAACACTGTTAGTTGAGGGCGCCCATCACAAATAAGTTTCGGAGAATGCTTAGCTGTCTGCTTTTTATATGTAATCCCGTTTCCAACGAAATCCTCAAAGCTATCCAAATATCCTCTTGCAGATTTTACGAAAAGAGTGTTTCAAAACTGCTCTATCAAAAGAAAGCTTCAACACTGTTAGTTGAGGGCGCACATCACAAATAAGATTCTGAGAATGCTTCTGTCTAGTTTTCAGGGGAAGATATTTCCTTTTAAACCATAGGCCTGAAAGCGCTCCAAATGTCCACATCCAGATACTACAAAAAGAGTGTTTCAAACCTGCTCTATGAAAGGGACTGTTCAACACTGTGACTTCAATTGAAACATCCCAATGACGCTTCTGAGAATGCTTCTGTCTAGAGTTTATATGAACACAATCCCGTTTCCAACGAAATCCTCAAAGCTATCCAAATATCCTCTTGCAGATTTTACAAAAAGAGTGTTTCAAAACTGCTCTATCAAAAGAAAGCTTCAACACTGTTAGTTGAGGGCGCACATCACAAATAAGATTCTGAGAATGCTTCTGTCTAGTTTTCAGGGGAAGATATTTCCTTTTTCACCATAGGCCTGAAAGCGCTCCAAATGTCCACATCCAGATACTTCAAAAATAGTGTTTCAAACCTGCTCTATGATAGGGAATGTTCAACTCTGTGACTTGAATGCAAACATCACAAAGAAGTTACTGGGAATGCTGCTGTCTGCCTTTTATATGTAATCCCGTTTCCAACGAAATCCTCAAAGCTAGACAAATATCCACTTGCACATTCCACAAAAAGAGTGTTTCAAAACTGCTCTCTCAAAAGAAAGGTTCAACTCTGTTAGCTGAGTAGATACGTCATGAAAAAGTTTCTGACATTGCTTCTATCTAGCTTTTATTGGAAGATATTTCCTTTTTCACCATAGTCCTGAGAACGCTCCAAATGTCCACTTCCAGATATTACAAAAAGAGTGTTTCAAACCTGCTCTACGAAAGGGACTGTTCAACACTGTGACTTCAATTGAAACATCCCAATGAAGCTTCTGAGAATGCTTCTGTCTAGTTTTCAGGAGAAGATATTTCCTTTTTCACCATAGGCCTGAAAGCGCTCCAAATGTCCACATCCAGATACTATAAAAAGAGTGTTTCAAACCTGCTCTATGAAAGGGAATGTTCAACTCTGTGACTTGAATGCAAACATGACAAAGAAGATTCTGGGAATGCTGCTGTCTGCTTTTTATATGTAATCCCGTTTCCAACGAAATCCTCAAAGCTAGACAAATATCCACTTGCAGATTCCACAAAAAGAGTGTTTCAAAACTGCTCTATCAAAAGAAAGCTTCAACACTGTTAGTTGAGGGCGCACATCACAAATAAGTTTCTGAGAATGCTTCTGTCTAGTTTTCAGGGGAAGATATTTCCTTTTTCACCATAGGGCTGAAAGCGCTCCAAATGTCCACATCCAGATACTACAAAAAGAGTGTTTCAAACCTGCTCTATGAAAGGGACTGTTCAACACTGTGACTTCAATTGAAACATCCCAATGAAGCTTCTGAGAATGCTTCTGTCTAGAGTTTATATGAAGACAATCCCGTTTCCAACGAAATCCTCAAATCTATCCAAATATCCTCTTGCAGATTTTACAAAAATAGTGTTTCAAAACTGCTCTATCAAAAGAAAGCTTCTACACTGTTAGTTGAGGGCCCACATCACAAATAAGATTCTGAGAATGCTTCTGTCTAGTTTTCAGGGGAAGATATATCCTTTTTCACCATAGGCCTGAAAGCGCTCCAAATGTCCACATCCAGATACTACAAAAAGAGTGTTTCAAACCTGCTCTAAGAAAGGGAATGTTCAACTCTGTGACTTGAATGCAAACATCACAAAGAAATTTCTGGGAATGCTTCTGTCTAGAATTTATATGAAGACAATCCCGTTTCCAACGAAATCCTCAAAGCTATCCAAATATCCTCTTGCAGATTTTACAAAAAGAGTGTTTCAAAACTGCTCTCTCAAAAGAAAGGTTCAACTCTGTTAGCTGAGTAGATACATCATGAAAAAGTTTCTGACATTGCTTCTATGTAGCTTTTATTGGAAGATATTTCGTTTTTCACCATAGGCCTGAAAGCGCTCCAAATGTCCACATCCAGATACTACAAAAAAAGTGTTTCAAACCTGCTCTATGAAAGGGAATGTTCAACTCTGTGACTTGAATGCAAACATCACAAAGAAGTTACTGGGAATGCTTCTGTCTAGAGTTTATATGAAGACAATCCCGTTTCCAACGTAATCCTCAAAGCTATCAAAATATCCTCTTGCAGATTTTACGAAAAGAGTGTTTCGAAACTGCTCTATCAAAAGAAAGCTTCAACACTGTTAGTTGAGGGCGCACATCACAAATAAGATTCTGAGAATGCTGCTGTCTGCTTTTTATATGTAATCCCGTTTCCAACGAAATCCTCAAAGCTAGACAAATATCCACTTGCAGATTCCACAAAAAGAGTGTTTCAAAACTGCTCTATCAAAAGAAAGCTTCAACACTGTTAGTTGAGGGGGCACATCACAAATAAGTTTCTGAGAATGCTTCTGTCTAGTTTTCAGGGGAAGATATTTCCTTTTTCACCATAGGCCTGAAAGCGCTCCAAATGTCCACATCCAGATACTACAAAAAGAGTGTTTCAAACCTGCTCTATGAAAGGGACTGTTCAACACTGTGACTTCAATTGAAACATCCCAATGAAGCATCTGAGAATGCTTCTGTCTAGAGTTTATATGAAGACAATCCCGTTTCCAAAGAAATCCTCAAAGCTATCCAAATATCCTCTTGCAGATTTTACAAAAATAGTGTTTCAAAACTGCTCTATCAAAAGAAAGCTTCAACACTGTTAGTTGAGGGCGCACATCACAAATAAAATTCTGAGAATGCTTCTGTCTAGTTTTCAGGGGAAGATATTTCCTTTTTCACCATAGGCCTGAAAGCGCTCCAAATGTCCACATCCAGATACTACAAAAAGAGTGTTTCAAACCTGCTCTATGAAAGGGAATATTCAACTCTGTGACTTGAATGCAAACATCACAAAGATGTTACTGGGAATGCTGCTGTCTGCTTTTTATATGTAATCCCGTTTCCAACGAAATCCTCAAAGCTAGACAAATATCCACTTGCAGATTCCACAAAAAGAGTGTTTCAAAACTGCTCTCTCAAAAGAAAGGTTCAACTCTGTTAGCTGAGTAGATACATCATGAAAAAGTTTCTGACATTGCTTCTATCTAGCTTTTATTGGAAGATATTTCCTTTATCACCGTAGTCCTGAGAGCGCTCCAAATGTCCACTTCCAGATACTACAAAAAGAGTGTTTCAAACCTGCTCTATGAAAGGGACTGTTCAACACTGTGACTTCAATTGAAACATCCCAATGAAGCTTCTGAGAATACTTATGTCTAGAGTTTATATGAAGACAATCCCGTTTCCAACGAAATCCTGAAAGCTATCCAAATATCCTCTTGCAGATATTACAAAAAGAGTGTTTCAAAACTGCTCTATCAAAAGAAAGCTTCAACACTGTTAGTTGAGGGCGCCCATCACAAATAAGTTTCGGAGAATGCTTAGCTGTCTGCTTTTTATATGTAATCCCGTTTCCAACGAAATCCTCAAAGCTATCCAAATATCCTCTTGCAGATTTTACGAAAAGAGTGTTTCAAAACTGCTCTATCAAAAGAAAGCTTCAACACTGTTAGTTGAGGGCGCACATCACAAATAAGATTCTGAGAATGCTTCTGTCTAGTTTTCAGGGGAAGATATTTCCTTTTAAACCATAGGCCTGAAAGCGCTCCAAATGTCCACATCCAGATACTACAAAAAGAGTGTTTCAAACCTGCTCTATGAAAGGGACTGTTCAACACTGTGACTTCAATTGAAACATCCCAATGACGCTTCTGAGAATGCTTCTGTCTAGATTTTATATGAAGACAATCCCGTTTCCAACGAAATCCTCAAAGCTATCCAAATATCCTCTTGCAGATTTTACAAAAAGAGTGTTTCAAAACTGCTCTATCAAAAGAAATGTTCAAACACTGTTAGTTGAGGGCGCACATCACAAATAAGTTTCTGAGAATGCTTCTGTCTAGTTTTCAGGGGAAGATATTTCCTTTTTCACCATAGGCCTGAAAGCGCTCCAAATGTCCACATACAGATACTACAAAAAGAGTGTTTCAAACCTGCTCTATGAAAGGGAATGTTCAACTCTGTGACTTGAATGCAAACTTCACAAAGAAGTTTCTGGGAATGCTGCTGTCTGCTTTTTATATGTAATCCCGTTTCCAACGAAATCCTCAAAGCTAGACAAATATCCACTTGCAGATTCCACAAAAAGAGTATTTCAAAACTGCTCTCTCAAAAGAAAGGTTCAACTCTGTTAGCTGAGTAGATACATCATGAAAAAGTTTCTGACTTTGCTTCTATCTAGCTTTTATTGGAAGATATTTCCTTTTTCACCGTAGTCCTGAGAACGCTCCAAATGTCCACTTCCAGATGCTACAAAAAGAGTGTTTCAAACCTGCTCTATGAAAGTGACTGTTCAACACTGTGACTTCAATTGAAACATCACAATGAACCTTCTGAGAATGCTTCTGTCTAGTTTTCAGGAGAAGATATTTCCTTTTTCACCATAGGCCTGAAAGCGCTCTAAATGTCCACATCCAGATACTATAAAAGGAGTGTTTCAAACCTGCTCTCTGAAAGGGAATGTTCAACTCTGTGACTTGAATGCAAACATCACAAACAAGATTCTGGGAATGCTGCTATCTGCTTTTTATAATTAATCCCGTTTCCAACGAAATCCTCAAAGCTATCCAAATATCCTCTTGCAGATATTACAAAAAGAGTGTTTCAAAACTGCTCTATCAAAAGAAAGGTTCAACACTGTTAGTTGAGGGCGCACATCACAAATAAGTTTCTGAGAATGCTTCTGTCTAGTTTTCAGGGGAAGATATTTCCTTTTAAACCATAGGCCTGAAAGCGCTCCAAATGTCCACATCCAGATACTACAAAAAGAGTGTTTCAAACCTGCTCTATGAAAGGGACTGTTCAACACTGTGACTTCAATTGAAACATCCCAATGACGCTTCTGAGAATGCTACTGTCTAGAGTTTATATGAAGACAATCCCGTTTCCAACGAAATCCTCAAAGCTATCCAAATATCCTCTTGCAGATTTTACAAAAAGAGTGTTTCAAATCTGCTCTATCAAAAGAAAGGTTCAACACTGTTAGTTGAGGGCGCACATCACAAATAAGTTTCTGAGAATGCTTCTGTCTAGTTATCAGGGGAAGATATTTCCTTTTTCACCATAGGCCTGAAAGCGCTCCAAATGTCCACATCCAGATACTACAAAAAGAGTGTTTCAAACCTGCTCTATGAAAGGGAATGTTCAACTCTGTGACTTGAATGCAAACATCACAAAAAAGTTTCTGGGAATGCTGCTGTCTGCTTTTTATATGTAATCCCGTTTCCAACGAAATCCTCAAAGCTAGACAAATATCCACTTGCAGATTCCACAAAAAGAGTGTTTCAAAACTGCTCTCTCAAAGGAAAGGTTCAACTCTGTTAGCTGAGTAGATACATCATGAAAAAGTTTCTGACATTGCTTCTATCTAGCTTTTATTGGAAGATATTTCCTTTTTCACCGCAGTCCTGAGAGCGCTCCAAATGTCCACTTCCAGATACTACAAAAGGAGTGTTTCAAACCTGCTCTATGAAAGGGACTGTTCAACACTGTGACTTCAATTGAAACATCCCAATGAAGCTTCTGAGAATGCTGCTGTCTGCTTTGTATAATTAATCCCGTTTCCAACGAAATCCTCAAAGCTATCCAAATATCCTCTTGCAGATATTACAAAAAGAGTGTTTCAAAACTGCTCTATCAAAAGAAAGCTTCAACACTGTTAGTTGAGGGCGCACATCACAAATAAGTTTCTGAGAATGCTGCTGTCTGCTTTTTATATGTAATCCCGTTTCCAACGAAATCCTCAAAGCTAGACAAATGTCCAACTGCAGATTCCACAAAAAGAGTGTTTCAAAACTGCTCTATCAAAAGAAAGCTTCAACACTGTTAGTTGAGGGCGCACATCACAAATAAGTTTCTGAGAATGCTTCTATGTAGCTTTTATTGGAAGATACTTCCTTTTTCACCGCAGTCCTGAGAGCACTCCAAATGTCCACTTCCAGATACTACAAAAAGAGTGTTTCAAACCTGCTCTATGAAAGGGACTGTTCAACACTGTGACTTCAACTGAAACATCCCAATGAAGCTTCTGAGAATGCTTCTGTCTAGAGTTTATATGAAGACAATCCCGTTTCCAACGAAATCTTCAAAGCTATCCAAATATCCTCTTGCAGATTTTACAAAAAGAGTGTTTCAAAACTGCTCTATCAAAAGAAAGCTTCAACACTGTTAGTTGAGGGCGCACATCACAAATAAGTTTCTGAGAATGCTTCTGTCTAGTTTTCAGGGGAAGATATTTCCTTTTTCACCATAGGCCTGAAAGCGCTCCAAATGTCCACATCCAGATACTACAAAAAGAGTGTTTCAAACCTGCTCTATGAAAGGGAATGTTCAACTCTGTGACGTGAATGCAAACATCACAAAGAAGTTTCTGGGAATGCTGCTGTCTGCTTTTTATATGTAATCCCGTTTCCAACGAAATCCTCAAAGCTAGACAAATATCCACTTGCAGATTCCACAAAAAGAGTGTTTCAAAACTGCTCTATCAAAAGAATGCTTCAACACTCTTAGCTGAGGGCGCACATCACAAATAAGTTTCTGAGAATGCTTCTGTCTAGTTTTCAGGGGAAGATATTTCCTTTTTCACCATAGGCCTGAAAGCGCTCCAAATGTCCACATCCAGATACTACAAAAAGAGTGTTTCAAACCTGCTCTATGAAAGGGACTGTTCAACACTGTGACTTCAATTGAAACATCCCAATGAAGCTTCTGAGAATGCTACTGTCTAGGGTTAATATGAAGACAATCCCGTTTCCAACGAAATCCTCAAAGCTATCCAAATGTCCTCTTGCAGATTTTACAAAAAGAGTGTTTCAAAACTGCTCTATCAAAAGAAAGCTTCAACACTGTTAGTTGAGGGCGCACATCACAAATAAGTTTCTGAGAATGCTTCTGTCTAGTTTTCAGGGGAACATATTTCCTTTTTCACCATAGGCCTGAAAGCGCTCCAAATGTCCACATCCAGATACTTCAAAAAGAGTGTTTCAAACCTGCGCTATGAAAGGGAATGTTCAAGACTGTGACTTGAATGCAAATATCACAAAGAAGTTTCTGGGAATGCTGCTGTCTGCTTTTTATATGTAATCCCGTTTCCAACGAAATCCTCAAAGCTAGACAAATATCCACTTACAGATTCCACAAAAAGAGTGTTTCAAAACTGCTCTCTCAAAGGAAAGGTTCAACTCTGTTAGCTGAGTAGATACATCATGAAAAAGTTTCTGACATTTCTTCTATCTAGCTTTTATTGGAAGATATTTCCTTTTTCACCGTAGTCCTGAGAGCGCTCCAAATGTCCACTTCCAGATGCTACAAAAAGAGTGTTTCAAACCTGCTCTATGAAAGGGACTGTTCAACACTGTGACTTCAATTGAAACATCCCAATGAAGCTTCTCAGAATGCTACTGTCTAGAGTTTATATGAAGACAATCCCGTTTCCAACGAAATCCTCAAAGCTATCCAAATATCCTCTTGCAGATTTTACAAAAAGAGTGTTTCAAAACTACTCTATCAAAAGAAAGCTTCAACACTGTTAGTTGAGGGCGCACATCACAAATAAGTTTCTGAGAATGCTTCTGTCTAGTTTTCAGGGGAAGATATTTCCTTTTTCACCATAGGCCTGAAAGCGCTCCAAACGTCCACATCCAGATACTACAAAAAGAGTGTTTCAAACCTGCTCTATGAAAGGGAATGTTCAAGTCTGTGACTTGAATGCAAATTTCACAAAGAAGTTTCTGGGAATGCTGCTGTCTGCTTTTTCTATGTAATCCCGTTTCCAACGGAATCCTCAAAGCTAGACAAATATCCACTTGCAGATTCCACAAAAAGAGTGTTTCAAAACGGCTCTCTCAAAACAAAGGTTCAACTCTGTTAGCTGAGTAGATACATCATGAAAAAGTTTCTGACATTGCTTCTATGTAGCTTTTATTGGAAGATATTTCCTTTTTCACCGTAGTCCTGAGAGCGCTCCAAATGTCCACTTCCAGATACTACAAAAAGAGTGATTCAAACCTGCTCTATGAAAGGGAGTGTTCAACACTGTGACTTCAATTGAAACATCCCAATGAAGCTTCTGAGAATGCTTCTGTCTAGATTCTATATGAAGACAATCCCGTTTCCAACGAAATCCTCAAAGCTATCCAAATATCCTCTTGCAGATTTTACAAAAAGAGTGTTTCAAAACTGCTCTATCAAAAGAAAAGTTCCACACTGTTAGTTGAGGGCGCACATCACAAATAAGTTTGCTGAGAATGCTGCTGTCTGCTTTTTATATGTAATCCCGTTTCCAACGAAATCCTCAAAGCTAGACAAATATCCACTTGCAGATTCCACAAAAAGAGTGTTTCAAAACTGCTCTCTCCAAGGAAGGTTCAACACTGTTAGTTGAGGGCGCACATCACAAATAAGTTTCTGAGAATGCTTCTGTCTAGTTTTCAGGGGAAGATATTTCCTTTTTCACCATAGGCCTGAAAGCGCTCCAAATGTCCACATCCAGATACTACAAAAAGAGTGTTTCAAACCTGCTCTATGAAAGGGACTGTTCAACACTGTGACTTCAATTGAAACATCCCAATGAAGCTTCTGAGAATGCTTCTGTCTAGAGTTTATATGAAGACAATCCCGTTTCCAACGAAATCCTCAAAGCTATCAAAATATCCTCTTGCAGATTTTACGAAAAGAGTGTTTCAAAACTGCTCTATCAAAAGAAAGCTTCAACACTGTTAGTTGAGGGCGCACATCACAAATAAGATTCTGAGAATGCTTCTGTCTAGTTTTCAGGGGAAGATATTTCCTTTTTCACCATAGGCCTGAAAGTGCTCCAAATGTCCACATCCAGATACTACAAAAAGAGTGTTTCAAACCTGCTCTATGAAAGGGAATGTTCAACACTGTGACTTGAATGCAAACATCACAAAGATGTTACTGGGAATGCTGCTGTCTGCTTTTTATATGTAATCCCGTTTCCAACGAAATCCTCAAAGCTAGACAAATATCCACTTGCAGATTCCACAAAAAGAGTGTTTCAAAACTGCTCTCTCAAAAGAAAGGTTCAACTCTGTTAGCTGAGCAGATACATCATGAAAAAGTTTCTGACATTGCTTCTATCTAGCTTTTATTGGAAGATATTTCCTTTTGCACCGTAGTGCTGAGAACGCTCCAAATGTCCACTTCCAGATGCTACAAAAAGAGTGTTTCAAACCTGCTCTATGAAAGGAACTGTTCAACACTGTGACTTCAATTGAAACATCCCAATGAAGCTTCTGAGAATGCTTCTTTCTAGAGTTTATATGAAGACAATCCCGTTTCCAACGAAATCCTCAAAGCTATCCAAATATTCTCTTGCAGATATTACAAAAAGAGTGTTTCAAAACTGCTCTATCAAAATAAAGCTTCAACACTGTTAGTTGAGGGCGCACATCACAAATAAGTTTCTGAGAATGCTGCTGTCTGCTTTTTATATGTAATCCCGTTTCCAACGAAATCCTCAAAGCTAGAAAAATATCCACATGCAGATTCCACAAAAAGAGTGTTTCAAAACTGCTCTATCAAAAGAAAGCTTCAACACTGTTAGTTGAGGGCGCACATCACAAATAAGTTTCTGAGAATGCTTCTGTCTAGTTTTCAGGGGAAGATATTTCCTTTTAAACCATAGGCCTGAAAGCGCTCCAAATGTCCACATCCAGATACTACAAAAAGAGTGTTTCAAACCTGCTCTATGAAAGGGACTGTTCAACACTGTGACTTCAATTGAAACATCCCAATGAAGATTCTGAGAATGCTACTGTCTAGGGTTAATATGAAGACAATCCCGTTTCCAACGAAATCCTCAAAGCTATCCAAATATCCTCTTGCAGATTTTACAAAAAGAATGTTTCAAAACTGCTCTTTCAAAAGAAAGCTTCAACACTGTTAGTTGAGGGCGCACATCACAAATAAGTTTCTGAGAATACTTCTGTCTTGTTTTCAGGGGAAGATATTTCCTTTTTCACCATAGGCCTGAAAGCGCTCCAAATGTCCACATCCAGATACTACAAAAAGAGTGTTTCAAACCTGCTCTATGAAAGGGAATGTTCAACTCTGTGACTTGAATGCAAACATCACAAAGAAGTTTCTGGGAATGCTGCTGTCTGCTTTTTATATGTAATCCCATTTCCAACGCAATCCTCAAAGCTAGACAAATATCCACTTGCAGATTCCACAAAAAGAGTGTTTCAAAACTGCTCTCTCAAAAGAAAGGTTCAACCCTGTTAGCTGAGTAGATACATCATGAAAAATTTTCTGACATTGCTTCTATCTAGCTTTTATTGGAAGATATTTCCTTTTTCACCGTAGTCCTGAGATCTCTCCAAATGTCCACTTCCAGATACTACAAAAAGAGTGTTTCAAACCTGCTCTATGAAAGGGACTGTTCAACACTGTGACTTCAATTGAAACATCCCAATGAAGCTTCTGAGAATGCTTCTTTCTAGAGTTTATATGAAGACAATCCCGTTTCCAACGAAATCCTCAAAGCTATCCAAATATTCTCTTGCAGATATTACAAAAAGAGTGTTTCAAAACTGCTCTATCAAAATAAAGCTTCAACACTGTTAGTTGAGGGCGCACATCACAAATAAGTTTCTGAGAATGCTGCTGTCTGCTTTTTATATGTAATCCCTTTTCCAACGAAATCCTCAAAGCTAGACAAATATCCACTTGCAGATTCCACAAAAAGAGTGTTTCAATACTGCTCTATCAAAAGAATGCTTCAACACTGTTAGTTGAGGGCGCACATCACAAATAAGTTTCTGAGAATGCTTCTGTCTAGTTTTCAGGGGAAGATATTTCCTTTTAAACCATAGGCCTGAAAGCGCTCCAAATGTCCACATCCAGATACTACAAAAAGAGTGTTTCAAACCTGCTCTATGAAAGGGACTGTTCAACACTGTGACTTCAATTGAAACATCCCAATGAAGCTTCTGAGAATGCTTCTGTCTTGAGTTTATAAGAAGACAATCCCGTTTCCAACGAAATCCTCAAAGCTATCCAAATATCCTCTTGCAGATTTTACAAAAAGAGTGTTTCAAAACTGCTCTATCAAAAGAAAGCTTCAACACTGTTAGTTGAGGGCGCACATCACAAATAAGATTCTGAGAATGCTTCTGTCTAGTTTTCAGGGGAAGATATTTCCTTTTTCACCATAGGCCTGAAAGCGCTCCAAATGTCCACATACAGATACTACAAAAAGAGTGTTTCAAACCTGCTCTATGAAAGGGAATGTTCAACTCTGTGACTTGAATGCAAACATCACAAAGAAGATTCTGGGAATGCTGCTGTCTGCTTTTTATATGTAATCCCGTTTCCAACGAAATCCTCAAAGCTAGACAAATATCCACTTGCAGATTCCACAAAAAGAGTGTTTCAAAAATGCTCTATCAAAAGAAAACTTCAACACTGTTAGTTGAGGGCGCACATCACAAATAAGTTTCTGAGAATGCTTCTGTCTAGTTTTCAGGGGAAGATATTTCCTTTTTCACCATAGGCCTGAAATCGCTCTAAATGTCCACATCCAGATACTACAAAAAGAGTGTTTCAAACCTGCTCTATGAAAGGGACTGTTCAACACTGTGACTTCAATTGAAACATCCCAATGAAGCTTCTGAGAATGCTTCTGTCTAGAGTTTATATGAAGACAATCCCGTTTCCAACGAAATCCTCAAAGCTATCCAAATATCCTCTTGCAGATTTTACAAAAAGAGTGTTTCAAAACTCCTCTATCAAAAGAAAGCTTCAACACTGTTAGTTGAGGGCGCACATCACAAATAAGATTCTGAGAATGCTTCTGTCTAGTTTTCAGGGGAAGATATTTCCTTTTTCACCTTAGGCCTGAAAGCGCTGCAAATGTCCACATCCAGATACTATAAAAAGAGTGTTTCAAACCTGCTCTATGAAAGGGAATGTTCAACCCTGTGACTTGAATGCAAACATCACAAAGAAGTTTCTGGGAATGCTGCTGTCTGCTTTTTATATGTAATCCCGTTTCATACGCAATCCTCAAACCTAGACAAATATCCACTTGCAGATTCCACACAAAGAGTGTTTCAAAACGGTTCTCTCAAAAGAAAGGTTCAACTCTGTTAGCTGAGTAGATACATCTTGAAAAATTTTCTGACATTTCTTCTATGTAGCGTTTATTGGAAGATATTTCCTTTATCACCGTATTCCTGTGATCTCTCCAAATGTCCACTTCCAGATACTACAAAAAGAGTGTTTCAAACCTGCTCAATGAAAGGGACTGTTCAACACTGTGACTTCAATTGAAACATCCCAATGAAGCTTCTGAGAATGCTTCTGTCTAGATTCTATATGAAGACAATCCCGTTTCCAACGAAATCCTCAAAGCTATCCAAATATCCTCTTGCAGATTTTACAAAAAGAGTGTTTCAAAACTGCTCTATCAAAAGAAAAGTTCCACACTGTTAGTTGAGGGCGCACATCACAAATAAGTTTGCTGAGAATGCTGCTGTCTGCTTTTTATATGTAATCCCGTTTCCAACGAAATCCTCAAAGCTAGACAAATATCCACTTGCAGATTCCACAAAAAGAGTGTTTCAAAACTGCTCTCTCAAAAGAAAGGTTCAACACTGTTAGTTGAGGGCGCACATCACAAATAAGTTTCTGAGAATGCTTCTGTCTAGTTTTCAGGGGAAGATATTTCCTTTTAAACCATAGGCCTGAAAGCGCTCCAAATGTCCACATCCAGATACTACAAAAAGAGTGTTTCAAACCTGCTCTATGAAAGGGACTGTTCAACACTGTGACTTCAATTGAAACATCCCAATGAAGCTTCTGAGAATGCTTCTGTCTAGAGTTTATATGAAGACAATCCCGTTTCCAACGAAATCCTCAAAGCTATCAAAATATCCTCTTGCAGATTTTACGAAAAGAGTGTTTCAAAACTGCTCTATCAAAAGAAAGCTTCAACACTGTTAGTTGAGGGCGCACATCACAAATAAGATTCTGAGAATGCTTCTGTCTAGTTTTCAGGGGAAGATATTTCCTTTTTCACCATAGGCCTGAAAGCGCTCCACATGTCCACATCCAGATACTACAAAAAGAGTGTTTCAAACCTGCTCTATGAAAGGGAATGTTCAACTCTGTGACTTGAATGCAAACATCACAAAGAAGTTTCTGGGAATGCTGCTGTCTGCTTTTTATATGTAATCCCGTTTCCAACGAAATCCTCAAAGCTAGACAAATATCCACTTACAGATTCCACAAAAAGAGTGTTTCAAAACTGCTCTCTCAAAGGAAAGGTTCATCTCTGTTAGCTGAGTAGATACATCATGAAAAAGTTTCTGACATTTCTTCTATCTAGCTTTTATTGGAAGATATTTCCTTTTTCACCGTATTCCTGAGAACGCTCCAAATATCCACTTCCAGGTACTACAAAAAGAGTGTTTCAAACCTGCTCTATGAAAGGGAATGTTGAACACTGTGACTTCAATTGAAACATCCCAATGAAGCTTCTGAGAATGCTGCTGTCTGCTTTGTATAATTAATCCCGTTTCCAACGAAATCCTCAAAGCTATCCAAATATCCTCTTGCAGATATTACAAAAAGAGTGTTTCAAAACTGCTCTATCAAAAGAAAGCTTCAACACTGTTAGTTGAGGGCGCACATCACAAATAAGTTTCTGAGAATGCTGCTGTCTGCTTTATATATGTAATCCCGTTTCCAACGAAATCCTCAAAGCTAGACAAACATCCACTTGCAGATTCCACAAAAAGAGTGTTTCAAAACTGCTCTATCAAAAGAAAGCTTCAACACTGTTAGTTGAGGGCGCACATCACAAATAAGTTTCTGAGAATGCTTCTGTCTAGTTTTCAGGGGAAGATATTTCCTTTTAAACCATAGGCCTGAAAGCGCTCCAAATGTCCACATCCAGATACTACAAAAAGAGTGTTTCAAACCTGCTCTATGAAAGGGACTGTTCAACACTGTGACTTCAATTGAAACATCCCAATGAAGCTTCTGAGAATGCTTCTGTCTAGAGTTTATATGAAGACAATCCCGTTTCCAACGAAATCCTCAAAGCTATCCAAATATCCTCTTGCAGATTTTACAAAAAGAGTGTTTCAAAACTGCTCTATCAAAAGAAAGCTTCAACACTGTTAGTTGAGGGCGCACATCACAAATAAGATTCTGAGAATGCTTCTGTCTAGTTTTCAGGGGAAGATATTTCCTTTTTCACCATAGGCCTGAAAGCGCTCCAAATGTCCACAACCAGATACTTCAAAAAGAGTGTTTCAAACCTGCTCTATGAAAGGGAATGTTCAACTCTTCTGGCTTGAATGCAAACATCACAAAGAAGTTACTGGGAATGCTGCTGTCTGCTTTTTATATGTAATCCCGTTTCCAACGAAATCCTCAAAGCTAGACAAATATCCACTTGCAGATTCCACAAAAAGAGTGTTTCAAAACTGCTCTCTCAAAAGAAAGGTTCAACTCTGTTAGCTGAGTAGATACATCATGAAAAAGTTTCTGACATTGCTTCTATGTAGCTTTTATTGGAAGATATTTCCTTTTTCACCATAGTCCTGAGAGCACTCCAAATGTCCACTTCCAGATACTACAAAAAGAGTGTTTCAAACCTGTTCTATGAAAGGAACTGTTCAACACTGTGACTTCAATTGAAACATCCCAATGAAGCTTCTGAGAATGCTGCTGTCTGCTTTGTATAATTAATCCCGTTTCCAACGAAATCCTCAAAGCTATCCAAATATCCTCTTGCAGATATTACAAAAAGAGTGTTTCAAAACTGCTCTATCAAAAGAAAGCTTCAACACTGTTAGTTGAGGGCGCACATCACAAATAAGTTTCTGAGAATGCTGCTGTCTGCTTTTTATATGTAATCTCGTTTCCAACGAAATCCTCAAAGCTAGACAAATATCCACTTCCAGATTCCACAAAAAGAGTGTTTCAAAACTGCTCTATCAAAAGAAAGCTTCAACACTGTTAGTTGAGGGCGCACATCACAAATAAGTTTCTGAGAATGCTTCTGTCTAGTTTTCAGGGGAAGATATTTCCTTTTAAACCATAGGCCTGAAAGCGCTCCAAATGTCCACATCCAGATACTACAAAAAGAGTGTTTCAAACCTGCTCTATGAAAGGGACTGTTCAACACTGTGACTTCAATTGAAACATCCCAATGAAGCTTCTGAGAATGCTTCTGTCTAGAGTTTATATGAAGACAATCCCGTTTCCAACGAAATCCTCAAAGCTATCCAAATATCCTCTTGCAGATATTACAAAAAGAGTGTTTCAAAACTGCTCTATCAAAAGAAAGCTTCAACACTGTTAGTTGAGGGCGCACATCACAAATAAGTTTCTGAGAATGCTTCTGTCTAGTTTTCAGGGGAAGATATTTCCTTTTTCACCATAGGCCTGAAAGCGCTCCAAAGGTCCACATCCAGATACTACGAAAAGAGTGTTTCAAACCTGCTCTATGAAAGGGAATGTTCAACTCTGTGACTTGAATGCAAACATCACAAAGAAGTTTCTGGGAATGCTGCAGTCTGCTTTTTATATGTAATCCCGTTTCCAACGAAATCCTCAAAGCTAGACAAATATCCACTTGCAGATTCCACAAAAAGAGGGTTTCAAAACTGCTCTCTCAAAAGAAAGTTACAACTCTGTTAGCTGAGTAGATACATCATGAAAGTGTTTCTGACATTGCTTCTATCTAGCTTTTATTGGAAGATATTTCCTTTTTCACCATATTCCTGAGAGCGCTCCAAATGTCCACTTCCAGATACTACAAAAAGAGTTTTTCAAACCTGCTCTATGAAAGGGACTGTTCAACACTGTGACTTCAATTGAAACATCCCAATGAAGCTTCTGAGAATGCTGCTGTCTGCTTTGTATAATTAATCCCGTTTCCAACGAAATCCTCAAAGCTATCCAAATATCCTCTTGCAGATATTACAAAAAGAGTGTTTCAAAACTGCTCTATCAAAAGAAAGCTTCAACACTGTTAGTTGAGGGCGCACATCACAAATAAGTTTCTGAGAATGCTGCTGTCTGCTTTTTATATGTAATCCCGTTTCCAACGAAATCCTCAAAGCTAGACAAATATCCACTTGCAGATTCCACAAAAAGAGTGTTTCAAAACTGCTCTATCAAAAGAATGCTTCAACACTGTTAGTTGAGGGCGCACATCACAAATAAGTTTCTGAGAATGCTTCTGTCTAGTTTTCAGGGGAAGATATTTCCTTTTTCACCATAGGCCTGAAAGCGCTCCAAATGTCCACATCCAGATACTACAAAAAGAGTGTTTCAAACCTGCTCTATGAAAGGGACTGTTCAACACTGTGACTTCAATTGAAACATCCCAATGAAGCTTCTGAGAATGCTTCTTCATCAGAGTTTATATGAAGACAATCCTGTTTCCAACGAAATCCTCAAAGCTATCCAAATATCCTCTTGCAGATTTTACGAAAAGAGTGTTTCAAAACTGCTCTATCAAAAGAAAGCTTCAACACTGTTAGTTGAGGGCGCACATCACAAATAAGATTCTGAGAATGCTTCTGTCTAGTTTTCAGGGGAAGATATTTCCTTTTTCACCATAGGCCTGAAAGCGCTCCAAATGTCCACATCCAGATATTACAAAAAGAGTGTTTCAAACCTGCTCTATGAAAGGGAATGTTCAACTCTGTGACTTGAATGCAAACATCACAAAGAAGATTCTGGGAATGCTGCTGTCTGCTTTTCATATGTAATCCCGTTTCCAACGAAATCCTCAAAGCTAGACAAATATCCACTTGCAGATTCCACAAAAAGAGTGTTTCAAAACTGCTCTCTAAAAGGAAAGGTTCAACTCTGTTAGCTGAGTAGATACATCATGAAAAAGTTTCTGACACTGCTTCTATGTAGCTTTTATTGGAAGATATTTCCTTTTTCACTGTAGTCCTGAGAACGCTCCAAATGTCCACTTCCAGATACTACAAAAAGAGTGTTTCAAACCTGCTCTATGAAAGGGACTGTTCAACACTGTGACTTCAATTGAAACATCCCAATGAAGCTTCTGAGAATGCTTCTGTCTAGATTTTATATGAAGACAATCCCGTTTCCAACGAAATCCTCAAAGCTATCCAAATATCCTCTTGCAGATTTTACAAAAAGGGTGTTTCAAAACTGCTCTATCAAAAGAAAGCTTCAACACTGTTAGTTGAGGGCGCACATCACAAATAAGTTTCTGAGAATGCTGCTGTCTGCTTTTTATAATTAATCCCGTTTCCAACGAAATCCTCAAAGCTATCCAAATATCCTCTTGCAGATATTACAAAAAGAGTGTTTCAAAACTGCTCTATCAAAAGAAACCTTCAACACTGTTAGTTGAGGGCGCACATCACAAATAAGTTTCTGAGAATGCTTCTGTCTAGTTTTCAGGGGAAGATATTTCCTTTTAAACCAGAGGCCTGAAAGCGCTCCAAATGTCCACATCCAGATACTACAAAAAGAGTGTTTGAAACCTGCTTTATGAAAGGGACTGTTCAACACTGTGACTTCAATTGAAACATCCCAATGAAGCTTCTGAGAATGCTTCTGTCTAGAGTTTATATGAAGACAATCCCGTTTCCAACGAAATCCTCAAAGCTATCCAAATATCCTCTTGCAGATTTTACAAAAAGAGTGTTTCAAAACTGCTCTATCAAAAGAAAGCTTCAACACTGTTAGTTGAGGGCGCACATCACAAATAAGATTCTGAGAATGCTTCTATGTAGCTTTTATTGGAAGATATTTCCTTTTTCACCATAGGCCTGAAAGCGCTCCAAATGTCCACATCCAGATACTACAAAAAAAGTGTTTCAAACCTGCTCTATGAAAGGGAATGTTCAACTCTGTGACTTGAATGCAAACATCACAAAGAAGTTACTGGGAATGCTGCTGTCTGCTTTTTATATGTAACCCGTTTCCAACGAAATCCTCAAAGCTAGACAAATATCCACTTGCAGATTCCACAAAAAGAGTGTTTCAAAACTGCTCTCTCAAAGGAAGGTTCAACTCTGTTAGCTGAGTAGATACATCATGAAAAAGTTTCTGACATTGCTTCTATCTAGCTTTTATTGGAAGATATTTCCTTTTTCAACGCAGTCCTGAGAGCGCTCCAAATGTCCACTTCCAGATACTACAAAAAGAGTGTTTCAAACCTGCTCTATGAAAGGGACTGTTCAACACTGTGACTTTAATTGAAACATCCCAATGAAGCTTCTGAGAATGCTTCTGTCTAGAGTTTATATGAAGACAATCCCGTTTCCAACGAAATCCTCAAAGCTATCCAAATATCCTCTTGCAGATATTACAAAAAGAGTGTTTCAAAACTGCTCTATCAAAAGAAAGGTTCAACACTGTTAGTTGAGGGCGCACATCACAAATAAGTTTACTGAGAATGCTGCTGTCTGCTTTTTATATGTAATCCCGTTTCCAACGAAATTCTCAAAGCTAGACAAATATCCACTTGCAGATTCCACAAAAAGAGTGTTTCAAAACTGCTCTATCAAAAGAAAGCTTCAACACTGTTAGTTGAGGGCGCACATCACAAATAAGTTTCTGAGAATGCTTCTGTCTAGTTTTCAGGGGAAGATATTTCCTTTTTCACCATAGGCCTGAAAGCGCTCCAAATGTCCACATCCAGATACTTCAAAAAGAGTGTTTCAAACCTGCTCTATGAAAGGGAATGTTCAACTCTGTGACTTGAATGCAAACATCACAAAGAAGTTTCTGGGAATGCTGTTGTCTGCTTTTTATATGTAATCCCGTTTCCAACGAAATCCTCAAAGCTAGACAAATATCCACTTGCAGATTCCACAAAAAGAGTGTTTCAAAACTGCTCTCTCAAAAGAAAGGTTCAACTCTGTTAGCTGAGTAGATACATCATGAAAAAGTTTCTGACATTGCTTCTATCTAGCTTTTATTGGAAGATATTTCCTTTTTCACCATAGTCCTGAGAGCGCTCCAAATGTCCACTTCCAGATACTACAAAAAGAGTGTTTCAAACCTGCTCTATGAAAGGGACTGTTCAACACTGTGACTTCAATTGAAACATCCCAATGAAGCTTTTGAGAATGCTTCTGTCTAGAGTTTATATGAAGACAATCCCGTTTCCAACGAAATCCTCAAAGCTATCCAAATATCCTCTTGCAGATTTTACAAAAAGAGTGTTTCAAAGCTGCTCTATCAAAAGAAAGCTTCAACACTGTCAGTTGAGTGCGCACATCACAAATAAGATTCTGAGAATGCTGCTGTCTGCTTTTTATATGTAATCCCGTTTCCAGCGAAATCCTCAAAGCTAGACAAATATCCACTTCCAGATTCCACAAAAAGAGTGTTTCAAAACTGCTCTATCAAAAGAAAGCTTCAACACTGTTAGTTGAGGGCGCACATCACAAATAAGTTTCTGAGAATGCTTCTGTCTAGTTTTCAGGGGAAGATATTTCCTTTTTCACCATAGGCCTGAAAGCGCTCCAAATGTCCACATCCAGATACTACAAAAAGAGTGTTTCAAACCTGCTCTATGAAAGGGACTGTTCAACACTGTGACTTCAATTGAAACATCCCAATGAAGCTTCTGAGAATGCTTCTGTCTAGAGTTTATATGAAGACAATCCCGTTTCCAACGAAATCCTCAAAGCTATCCAAATATCCTCTTGCAGATTTTACAAAAAGAGTGTTTCAAAACTGCTCTATCAAAAGAAAGCTTCAACACTGTTAGTTGAGGGCGCACATCACAAATAATTTTCTGAGAATGCTTCTGTCTAGTTTTCAGGGGAAGATATTTCGTTTTTCACCATAGGCCTGAAAGCGCTCCAAATGTCCACATCCAGATACTACAAAAAGAGTGTTTCAAACCTCCTCTATGGAAGGGAATGTTCAAGTCTGTGACTTGAATGCAAATATCACAAAGAAGTTTCTGGGAATGCTGCTGTCTGCTTTTTATATGTAATCCCGTTTCCAACGAAATCCTCAAAGCTAGACAAATATCCACTTGCAGATTCCACAAAAAGAGTGTTTCAAAACTGCTCTCTCAAAGGAAAGGTTCAACTCTGTTAGCTGAGTAGATACATCATGAAAAAGTTTCTGGCATTGCTTCTATCTGGCTTTTATTGGAAGATATTTCCTTTTTCACCGTAGTCCTGAGAGCGCTCCAAATGTCCATTTCCAGATACTACAAAAAGAGTGTTTCAAACCTGCTCTATGAAAGGGACTGTTCAACACTGTGACTTCAATTGAAACATCCCAATGAAGCTTCTGAGAATGCTGCTGTCTGCTTTGTATAATTAATCCCGTTTCCAACGAAATCCTCAAAGCTATCCAAATATCCTCTTGCAGATATTACAAAAAGAGTGTTTCAAAACTGCTCTATCAAAAGAAAGCTTCAACACTGTTAGTTGAGGGCGCACATCACAAATAAGTTTCTGAGAATGCTGCTGTCTGCTTTTTATATGTAATCCCGTTTCCAACGAAATCCTCAAAGCTAGACAAATATCCACTTGCAGATTCCACAAAAAGAGTGTTTCAAAACTGCTCTATCAAAAGAAAGCTTCAACACTGTTAGTTGAGGGCGCACATCACAAATAAGTTTCTGAGAATGCTTCTGTCTAGTTTTCAGGGGAAGATATTTCCTTTTAAACCATAGGCCTGAAAGCGCTCCAAATGTCCACATCCAGATACTACAAAAAGAGTGTTTCAAACCTGCTCTATGAAAGGGACTGTTCAACACTGTGACTTCAATTGAAACATCCCAATGACGCTTCTGAGAATGCTTCTGCCTAGAGTTTATATGAAGACAATCCCGTTTCCAACGAAATCCTCAAAGCTATCCAAATATCCTCTTGCAGATATTACAAAAAGAGTGTTTCAAAACTGCTCTATCAAAAGAAAGCTTCAACACTGTTAGTTGAGGGCGCACATCACAAATAAGTTTCTGAGAATGCTTCTGTCTAGTTTGCAGGGGAAGATATTTCCTTTTTCACCATAGGCCTGAGAGCGCTCCAAATGTCCACATCCAGATACTACAAAAAGAGTGTTTCAAACCTGCTCTATGAAAGGGAATGTTCAACTCTGTGACTTGAATGCAAACATCACAAAGAAGTTTCTGGGAATGCTTCTGTCTAGAGTTTATATGAAGACAATCCTGTTTCCAACGAAATCCTCAAAGCTAGACAAATATCCACTTGCAGATTCCACAAAAAGAGTGTTTCAAAACTGCTCTCTCAAAAGAAAGGTTCAACTCTGTTAGCTGAGTAGATACATCATGAAAAAGTTTCTGACATTGCTTCTATCTAGCTTTTATTGGAAGATATTTCCTTTATCACCGTATTCCTGAGATCTCTCCAAATGTCCACTTCCAGATACTACAAAAAGAGTGTTTCAAACCTGCTCTATGAAAGGGACTGTTGAACACTGTGACTTCAATTGAAACATCCCAATGAAGCTTCTGAGACTGCTTCTTTCTAGAGTTTATATGAAGACAATCCCGTTTCCAACGAAATCCTCAAAGCTATCCAAATATTCTCTTGCAGATATTACAAAAAGAGTGTTTCAAAACTGCTCTATCAAAATAAAGCTTCAACACTGTTAGTTGAGGGCGCACATCACAAATAAGTTTCTGAGAATGCTGCTGTCTGCTTTTTATATGTAATCCCGTTTCCAACGAAATCCTCAAAGCTAGACAAATATCCACTTGCAGATTCCACAAAAAGAGTGTTTCAAAACTGCTCTATCAAAAGAATGCTTCAACACTGTTAGTTGAGGGCGCACATCACAAATAAGTTTCTGAGAATGCTTCTGTCTAGTTTTCAGGGGAAGATATTTCCTTTTTCACCATAGGCCTGAAAGCGCTCGAAATGTCCACATCCAGATACTACAAAAAGAGTGTTTCAAACCTGCTCTATGAAAGGGACTGTTCAACACTGTGACTTCAATTGAAACATCCCAATGAAGCTTCTGAGAATGCTTCTGTCTAGATTTTATATGAAGACAATCCCGTTTCCAAAGAAATCCTCAAAGCTATCAAAATATCCTCTTGCAGATTTTACAAAGAGTGTTTCAAAACTACTCTATCAAAAGAAAGGTTTAACACTGTTAGTTGAGGGCGCACATCAGAAATAAGTTTCTGAGAATGCTTCTGTCTAGTTTTCAGGGGAAGATATTTCCTTTTTCACCATAGGCCTGAAAGCGCTCCAAATGTCCACATCCAGATACTACAAAAAGAGTGTTTCAAACCTGCTCTATGAAAGGGAATGTTCAACTCTGTGACTTGAATGCAAACATCACAAAGAAGTTTCTGGGAATGCTGCTGTCTGCTTTTTATATGTAATCCCGTTTCCAACGAAATCCTCAATGCTAGACAAATATCCACTTGCAGATTCCACAAAAAGAGTGTTTCAAAACTGCTCTCTCAAAAGAAAGGTTCAACTCTGTTAGCTGAGTAGATACATCATGAAAAAGTTTCTGACATTGCTTCTATGTAGCTTTTATTGGAAGATATTTCCTTTTTCACCGTAGTCCTGAGAGCGCTCCAAATGTCCACTTCCAGATACTACAAAAAGAGTGTTTCAAACCTGCTCTATGAAAGGGACTGTTCAACACTGTGACTTCAATTGAAACATCCCAATGAAGCTTCTGAGAATGCTTCTGTCTAGAGTTTATATGAAGACAACCCCGTTTCCAACGAAATCCTCAAAGCTATCCAAATATCCTCTTGCAGATTTTACAAAAAGAGTGTTTCAAAACTGCTCTATCAAAAGTAAGCTTCAACACTGTTAGTTGAGGGCGCACATCACAAATAAGATTCTGAGAATGCTTCTGTCTAGTTTTCAGGAGAAGATATTTCCTTTTTCACCATAGGCCTGAAAGCGCTCCAAATGTCCACATCGAGATACTACAAAAAGAGTGTTTCAAACCTGCTCTATGAAAGGGAATGTTCAACTCTGTGACTTGAATGCAAACATCACAAAGAAGATTACTGGGAATGCTGCTGTCTGCTTTTTATATGTAATCCCGTTTCCAACGAAATCCTCAAAGCTAGACAAGTATCCTCTTGCAGATTCCACAAAAAGAGTGTTTCAAAACTGCTCTCTCAAAAGAAAGGTTCAACTCTGTTAGGTGAGTAGATACATCATGAAAAAGTTTCTGACATTGCTTCTATCTAGCTTTTATTGGAAGATATTTCCTTTTTCACCGTAGTCCTGAGAGCGCTCCAAATGTCCACTTCCAGATACTACAAAAAGAGTGTTTCAAACCTGCTCTATGAAAGGTACTGTTCAACACTGTGACTTCAGTTGAAACATCCCAATGAAGCTTCTGAGAATGCTTCTTTCTAGAGTTTATATGAAGACAATCCCGTTTCCAACGAAATCCTCAAAGCTATCCAAATATTCTCTTGCAGATATTACAAAAAGAGTGTTTCAAAACTGCTCTATCAAAATAAAGCTTCAACACTGTTAGTTGAGGGCGCACATCACAAATAAGTTTCTGAGAATGCTGCTGTCTGCTTTTTATATGTAATCCCGTTTCCAACGAAATCCTCAAAGCTATCCAAATATCCTCTTGCAGATATTACAAAAAGAGTGTTTCAAAACTGCTCTATCAAAAGAAAGGTTCAACACTGTTAGTTGAGGGCGCACATCACAAATAAGTTTCTGAGAATGCTTCTGTCTAGTTTTCAGGGGAAGATATTTCCTTTTAAACCATAGGCCTGAAAGCGCTCCAAATGTCCACATCCAGATACTACAAAAAGAGTGTTTCAAACCTGCTCTATGAAAGGGAATGTTCAACACTGTGACTTCAATTGAAACATCCCAATGAAGCTTCTGAGAATGCTACTGTCTAGAGTTTATATGAAGACAATCCCGTTTCCAACGAAATCCTCAAAGCTATCCAAATATCCTCTTGCAGATGTTACAAAAAGAGTGTTTCAAAACTACTCTATCAAAAGAAAGGTTTAACACTGTTAGTTGAGGGCGCACATCACAAATAAGTTTCTGAGAATGCTTCTGTCTAGTTTTCAGGGGAAGATATTTCCTTTTTCACCATAGGCCTGAAAGCGCTCCAAATGTCCACATCCAGATACTACAAAAAGAGTGTTTCAAACCTGCTCTATGAAAGGGAATGTTCAACTCTGTGACTTGAATGCAAACATCACAAAGAAGTTTCTGGGAATGCTGCTGTCTGCTTTTTATATGTAATACCGTTTCCAACGAAATCCTCAAAGCTAGACAAATATCCACTTGCAGATTCCACAAAAACAGTGTTTCAAAACTGCTCTCTCAAAAGAAAGGTTCAACTCTGTTAGCTGAGTAGATACATCATGAAAATGTTTCTGACATTGCTTCTATCTAGCTTTTATTGGAAGATATTTCCTTTTTCACCGTAGTCCTGAGAGCGCTCCAAATGTCCACTTCCAGATACTACAAAAAGAGTGTTTCAAACCTGCTCTATGAAAGGGAATGTTCAACTCTGTGACTTGAATGCAAACATCACAAAGAAGTTTCTGGGAATGCTGCTGTCTGCTTTTTATATGTAATCCCGTTTCCAACGATATCCTCAAAGCTAGACAAATATCCACTTGCAGATTCCACCAAAAGAGTGTTTCAAAACTGCTCTCTCAAAAGAAAGGTTCAACTCTGTTAGCTGAGTAGATACATCATGAAAAATTTTCTGACATTGCTTCTATCTAGCTTTTATTGGAAGATATTTCCTTTTTCACCGTAGTCCTGAGAACGCTCCAAATGTCCACTTCCAGATGATACAAAAAGAGTGTTTCAAACCTGCTCTATGAAAGGGACTGTTCAACACTGTGACTTCAATTGAAACATCCCAATGAAGCTTCTGAGAATGCTTCTGTCTAGAGTTTATATGAAGACAATCCCGTTTCCAACGAAATCCTCAAAGCTATCCAAATATCCTCTTGCAGATATTACAAAAAGAGTGTTTCAAAACTGCTCTATCAAAAGAAAGGTTCAACACTGTTAGTTGAGGGCGCACATCACAAATAAGTTTACTGAGAATGCTGCTGTCTGCTTTTTATAATTAATCCCGTTTCCAACGAAATCCTCAAAGCTATCCAAATATCCTCTTGCAGATATTACAAAAAGAGTGTTTCAAAACTGCTCTATCAAAAGAAAGGTTCAACACTGTTAGTTGAGGGCGCACATCACAAATAAGTTTCTGAGAATGCTTCTGTCTAGTTTTCAGGGGAAGATATTTCCTTTTTCACCGTAGGCCTGAAAGCGCTCCAAATGTCCACATCCAGATACTACAAAAAGAGTGTTTCAAACCTGTTCTATGAAAGGGACTGTTCAACACTGTGACTTCAATTGAAACATCCCAATGAAGCTTCTGAGAATGCTTCTGTCTAGAGTTTATATGAAGACAATCCCGTTTCCAACGAAATCCTCAAAGCTATCCAAATATCCTCTTGCAGATTTTACAAAAAGAGTGTTTCAAAACTGCTCTATCAAAAGAAAGCTTCAACACTGTTAGTTGAGGGCGCACATCACAAATAAGTTTCTGAGAATGCTTCTATCTAGCTTTTATTGGAAGATATTTCCTTTTTCACCATAGTTTTGAGAGCGCTCTAAATGTCCACTTCCAGATACTACAAAAAGAGTGTTTCAAACCTGCTCTATGAAAGGGAATGTAGAACTCTGTGACTTGAATGCAAACATCACAAAGAAGTTTCTGGGAATGCTGCTGTAGCTTTTTATATGTTATCCCGTTTCCAACGAAATCCTCAAAGCTAGAGAAATATCCAATTGCAGATTCCACAAAAAGAATGTTTCAAAACTGCTCTCTCAAAAGAAAGGTTAAACTCTGTTAGCTGAGTAGATACATCATGAAAAAGTTTCTGACATTGCTTCTATTTGGCTTTTATTGGAAGATATTTCCTTTTTCACCGAAGTCCTGAGAGCGCTCAAAATGTCCACTTCCAGATACTACAAAAAGAGTGTTTCAAACCTGCACTATGAAAGGGACTGTTCAACACTGTGACTTCAATTGAAACATCCCAATGAAGTTTCTGAGAATGCTTCTGTCTAGAGTTTATATGAAGACAATCCCGTTTCCAACGAAATCCTCAAAGCTATCCAAATATCCTCTTGCAGATATTACAAAAAGAGTGTTTCAAAACTGCTCTATCAAAAGAAAGGTTCAACACTGTTAGTTGAGGGCGCACATCACAAATAAGTTTACTGAGAATGCTGCTGTCTGCTTTTTATATGTAATCCCGTTTCCAACGAAATCCTCAAAGCTAGACAAATATCCACTTGCAGATTCCACAAAAAGAGTGTTTCAAAACTGCTCTATCAAAAGAAAGCTTCAACACTGTTAGTTGAGGGCGCACATCACAAATAAGTTTCTGAGAATGCTTCTATCTAGCTTTTATTGGAAGATATTTCCTTTTTCACCGTAGTCCTGAGAACGCTCCAAATGTCCACCTCCAGATACTACAAAAAGAGTGTTTCAAACCTGCTCTATGAAAGGGACTGTTCAACACTGTGACTTCAATTGAAACATCCCAATGAAGCTTCTGAGAATGCTTCTGTCTAGATTCTATATGAAGACAATCCCGTTTCCAACGAAATCCTCAAAGCTATCCAAATATCCTATTGCAGATTTTACAAAAAGAGTGTTTCAAAACTGCTCTTTCAAAAGAAAGGTTCAACACCGTTAGTTGAGGGCGCACATCACAAATAAGTTTCTGAGAATGCTTCTGTCTAGTTTACAGGAGAAGATATTTCCTTTTTCACCATAGGCCTGAAAGCGCTCCAAATGTCCACATCCAGACACTATAAAAAGAGTGTTTCAAACATGCTCTCTGAAAGGGAATGTTCAACTCTGTGACTTGAATGCAAACATCACAAACAAGATTCTGGGAATGCTGCTGTCTGCTTTTTATATGTAATCCCGTTTCCAAGGAAGTCCTCAAAGCTAGACAAATATCCACTTGCAGATTCCACAAAAAGAGTGTTTCAAAACTGCTCTCTCAAAAGAAAGGTTCAACTCTGTTAGCTGAGTAGATACATCATGAAAAAGTTTCTGACATTGCTTCTATCTAGCTTTTATTGGAAGATATTTCCTTTTTCACCGCAGTCCTGAGAGCGTTCCAAATGTCCACTTCCAGATACTACAAAAAGAGTGTTTCAAACCTGCTCTATGAAAGGGACTGTTCAACACTGTGACTTCAATTGAAACATCCCAATGAAGCTTCTGAGAATGCTTCTGTCTAGAGTTTATATGAAGACAATCCCGTTTCCAACGAAATCCTCAAAGCTATCCAAATATCCTCTTGCAGATATTACAAAAAGAGTGTTTCAAAACTGCTCTATCAAAAGAAAGGTTCAACACTGTTAGTTGAGGGCGCACATCACAAATAAGTTTACTGAGAATGCTGCTGTCTGCTTTTTATATGTAATCCCGTTTCCAACGAAATCCTCAAAGCTAGACAAATATCCACTTGCAGATTCCACAAAAAGAGTGTTTCAAAACTGCTCTATCAAAAGAATGCTTCAACACTGTTAGTTGAAGGCGCACATCACAAATAAGTTTCTGAGAATGCTTCTGTCTAGTTTTCAGGGGAAGATATTTCCTTTTTCACCATAGGCCTGAAAGCGCTCCAAATGTCCACATCCAGATACTACAAAAAGAGTGTTTCAAACCTGCTCTATGAAAGGGACTGTTCAACACTGTGACTTCAATTGAAACATCCCAATGAAGCTTCTGAGAATGCTACTGTCTAGAGTTTATATGAAGACAATCCCGTTTCCAACGAAATACTCAAAGCTATCCAAATATCCTCTTGCAGATTTTACAAAAAGAGTGTTTCAAAACTACTCTATCAAAAGAAAGGTTCAACACTGTTAGTTGACGGCGCACATCACAAATAAGTTTCTGAGAATGCTTCTGTCTAGTTTTCAGGGGAAGATATTTCCTTATTCACCATAGGCCTGAAAGCGATCCAAATATCCACATCCAGATACTACAAAAAGAGTGTTTCAAACCTGCTCTATGAAAGGGAATGTTCAACTCTGTGACTTGAATGCAAACATCACAAAAAAGTTTCTGGGAATGCTGCTGTCTGCTTTTTATATGTAATCCCGTTTCCAACGAAATCCTCAAAGCTAGACAAAATATCCACTTGCAGATTCCACAAAAAGAGTGTTTCAAAACTGCTCTCTCAAAAGAAAGGTTCAACTCTGTTAGCTGAGTAGATACATCATGAAAAAGTTTCTGACATTGCTTCTATGTAGCTTTTATTGGACGATATTTCCTTTTTCACCGCAGTCCTGAGAGCGCTCCAAATGTCCACTTCCAGATACTACAAAAAGAGTGTTTCAAACCTGCTCTATGAAAGGGACTGTTCAACACTGTGACTTCAACTGAAACATCCCAATGAAGCTTCTGAGAATGCTGCTGTCTGCTTTGTATAATTAATCCCGTTTCCAACGAAATCCTCAAAGCTATCCAAATATCCTCTTGCAGATATTACAAAAAGAGTGTTTCAAAACTGCTCTATCAAAAGAAAGCTTCAACACTGTTAGTTGAGGGCGCACATCACAAATAAGTTTCTGAGAATGCTGCTGTCTGCTTTTTATATGTAATCCCGTTTCCAACGAAATCCTCAAAGCTAGACAAATATCCCCTTGCAGATTCCACAAAAAGAGTGTTTCAAAACTGCTCTATCAAAAGAAAGCTTCAACACTGTTAGTTGAGGGCGCAAATCACAAATAAGTTTCTGAGAATGCTTCTGTCTAGTTTTCAGGGGAAGATATTTCCTTTTAAACCATAGGCCTGAAAGCGCTCCAAATGTCCACATCCAGATACTACAAAAAGAGTGTTTCAAACCTGCTCTATGAAAGGGACTGTTCAACACTGTGACTTCAATTGAAACATCCCAATGACGCTTCTGAGAATGCTTCTGTCTAGAGTTTATATGAAGACAATCCCGTTTCCAACGAAATCCTCAAAGCTATCCAAATTTCCTCTTGCAGATTTTACAAAAAGAGTGTTTCAAAACTGCTCTATCAAAAGAAAGCTTCAACACTGTTAGTTGAGGGCGCACATCACAAATAAGATTCTGAGAATGCTTCTATGTAGCTTTTATTGGAAGATATTTCCTTTTTCACCGTAGTCCTGAGAGCACTCTAAATGTCCACTTCCAGATACTACAAAAAGAGTGTTTCAAACCTGCTCTATGAAAGGGAATGTTCAAATCTGTGACTTGAATGCAAACATCACAAAGAAGTTTCTGAGAATGCTGCTCTCTGCTTTTATATGTAATCCCGTTTCCAACGAAATCCTCAAATCTAGACAAATATCCACTTGCAGATTCCACAAAAAGAGTGTTTCAAAACTGCTCTCTCAAGAGAAAGGTTCAACTCTGTTAGCTGAGTAGATACATCATGACAAATTTTCTGACATTGCTTCTATCTAGCTTTTATTGGAAGATATTTCCTTTTTCACCGTAGTCCTGACAGCGCTCCAAATGTCCACTTCCAGATACTACAAAAAGAGTGTCTCAAACCTGCTCTATGAAAGGGACTGTTCAACACTGTGACTTCAATTGAAACATCCCAATGAAGTTACTGAGAATGCTGCTGTCTGCTTTGTATAATTAATCCCGTTTCCAACGAAATCCTCAAAGCTATCCAAATATCCTCTTGCAGATATTACAAAAAGAGTGTTTCAAAACTGCTCTATCAAAAGAAAGCTTCAACACTGTTAGTTGAGGGCGCACATCACAAATAAGTTTCTGAGAATGCTGCTGTCTGCTTTTTATATGTAATCCCGTTTCCAACGAAATCCTCAAAGCTAGACAAATATCCACTTACAGATTCCACAAAAAGAGTGTTTCAAAACTGCTCTATCAAAAGAAAGCTTCAACACTGTTAGTTGAGGGCGCACATCACAAATAAGATTTTGAGAATGCTTCTGTCTAGTTTTCAGGGGAAGATATTTCCTTTTAAACCATAGGCCTGAAAGCGCTCCAAATGTCCACATCCAGATACTACAAAAAGAGTGTTTCAAACCTGCTCTATGAAAGGGACTGTTCAACACTGTGACTTCAATTGAAACATCCCAATGACGCTTCTGAGAATGCTACTTTCTAGAGTTTATATGAAGACAATCCCGTTTCCAACGAAATCCTCAAAGCTATCCAAATATCCTCTTGCAGATTTTACAAAAAGAGTGTTTCAAAACTACTCTATCAAAAGAAAGGTTCAACATTGTTAGTTGAGGGCGCACATCACAAATAAGTTTCTGAGAATGCTTCTGTCTAGTTTTCAGGGGAAGATATTTCCTTTTTCACCATAGGCCTGAAAGCGCTGCAAATGTCCACATACAGATACTACAAAAAGAGTGTTTCAAACCTGCTCTATGAAAGGGAATGTTCAACTCTGTGACTTGAATGCAAACTTCACAAAGAAGTTTCTGGGAATGCTGCTGTCTGCTTTTTATATGTAATCCCGTTTCCAACGAAATCCTCAAAGCTAGACAAATATCCACTTGCAGATTCCACAAAAAGAGTGTTTCAAAACTGCTCTTTCAAAAGAAAGGTTCAACTCTTTTAGCTGAGTAGATACATCATGAAAAAGTTTCTGACATTGCTCTTCTATCTAGCTTTTATTGGAAGATATTTCCTTTTTCACCGTATTCCTGAGAACTCTCCAAATGTCCACTTCCAGATACTACAAAAAAGGTGCTGGAGAGGATGCGGAGAAATAGGAACACTTTTACACTGTTGGTGGGACTTTAAACTAGTTCAACCATTGTGGAAGTGCAGTGTGGCGATTCCTCAGGGTCTAGAACTAGAAAT